>NC_000012.12:68823764-68975279 GCF_000001405.40 Homo sapiens | reverse complement strand
TAAATAAGATTGCTAGTCATGACCTCCTAAATTATTTCATAGCCTACTAAGGGTCATGAACTGCAGACTAAAAAACATTGGTTTATAAATATCCAAAACTGAGCAGTTTCGTTAAATATATTATAATATACTCATAATGCAGAATATATGCCATTATTAAAAATAATGTGGTAGAACTATATAGGTATGGAAAGATGTCGACAACGCATGGGTGAAAAATTTACTAGAATCACCCTATTTTGAAAGGAAAAAATATCATATATTTTTATATATGCAGAGAAAGAGCATATGGACAGAAAATTACCAATATATTAACAATAGCCCATTTGTCTGTAGCTGCTGGGTTTATGGGCAAGTGTAATCTTCTTTTTACTCTCTGTAATCAATATGCATTAGTACTTAAAATATGAATTTTAAACATTTTAGACTGTTACATAATACATAGATTTTGTTCATTATTTTCAGGAAAAATGCAGATTTGGTCCTTAATACATAATTAATATCCATTACATGATTTTTTAGCAAAGATATTATAAAGTTATAGTACTTAGAGTATAATAAATAAGTTTGCTAGTCATGACCTCCTAAATTATTTCATAGCTTACCGAAGGTCATGAACTGCAGTTTTATTATATTTTCTGTCATTTTCTTTGACAGAAGATACGATAAAATGAAACATTCTTGATTTCTTTAACATTAAATTTACAGCAGTAAGCAATCCTCAATCCAAATAATCACATTTTTAGCTGCAAAATAGGAAACACTTCTTCCAATTCCTGTCATAGAACTTCTCTAAGAATAAAACAGCTGCTTAGCTATCATTGCCTTTAAAGGAAAAAATACCATCATTAAACTGCTGCTTTGGGTATTTGAGTCGAGGTGCTCTAGTGGCTATTGTAACACTGTGCCTCCTGTCACGCTACCAACCTGCTGGGTTGAGTAGGCCATCCAGGCTTAGAGTTGTCTCTAGCCAAGAACGGTAGAAGTCAAGATTTATTTATGCTGGGGCTGCTGAATAAGGCAGTTACTCATGAGGACATTTTTAAACCGGTACAAGTAAACCCAAGCAACCTTTAAGGGGAGAAGTCACAAACAAACACATTAAGTCTGGAGTTGGACATGTGTCTTGGAAGAAGAGACATGGGTGAGGGAAGATGATGCTTGCAGATTTCCAGTGTGCACCTCCCTCTTTAGCTGTGGCTGGTAAACTTACCTGAGTCATTGATTTTCTCCCCTCTAGATGCCGCCCTGAATTTCACTTTTGTCTGCTTTCATAATTGAGTGACCAGAATAACAGTCTGTCAACCATTCCACAAAATATTTGCCTCAAGTCAAAAATATCCTAGAAAAGAGTTGTTGGTGAATATAAGGCCAATTTCATGCTCTCTTAAAATAATGACACTTCCAAGGGTAGAAACTGAATAAGTTTCATAGTTCATGTCTCTTGTTCTAGACTTCTATATCAGGAAATGTTATAATTTTCAAGGCATATAGATTCAGTAAAAAAAAAAAAAAAAAAAAAAAAAGACAGAGAGAAAGAAAAGAAAGCTTGAACTCGGGAGGTGGAGGTTGCAGTGAGCCAAGATCATGCCACTGCACTCTAGCCCGGTGACAGAGCGAGATTCTGTCTGAAAAAAAGAAAAAGAAATGTTACAATCTCACTGTTTTCGGAATTCATTCATTCCAAAATTTTGTGCATCTATAAGTTGAAAGAACTAGATGAGATGATTTTGAATAGAAGTACTGAGTGAGAACATTCTCTAGCACATTATCTGGCAATATGGGATGTTGTAATACAATGTTAACAGTATACGGTGTAAAGATACCAATGTATACTGTTAACACTGTAACAGTACACATTGCCTCATAATATTAAAAACTCTTATAAACTTCATCTTAATGGCAGAATAATATTCTAAGATGTGATTAGGAAATCATTTTGCAAACCTTGTTTCCAATATTTTTGTTATTTTAAACAATATTATGATTTCTAACTTTATGAAAAAAACATTTTCCAAATTTCAGGTCATGCCTTTAGGATAGATTTACAAAGTAGAATTACCATAATAAACATTTTAAGGTTACATTGCAAAATTATTTTCTAAAAGGCTTGTAGCAATTTTCATCCCTACCTGCAATGTATCAATAGCCACTTCCTTGTTTCCTCATTCATATTAGGCGTCTCATTTACAAAAATGAATACATAAAAAACAATTTTATAAAATATTTGATACATTAATAAGTTAAGAATTTTGTTCACTGTTGTTTTAATTTGTATATATTTTTATTTACAGTGAGATTAAACACTTTTCCATATGTTATTTGGTCATTTGTATTTCCTCCTTTGTGTATTGTTGTGCATGCCTTTTGCCTGAAAAGGACCATTTCCTTTTCAGTAATAATCAACATTAACTACCATGATGACTACTATGACAGGAGAGTTGATTCAGCTTGGGCTTGCGGGGAGGAAGCAACAGAGGTCTGTCTGCTAGAAAGTGACCTTTGAGTGGATATTCAAATGATGATGGTGGGAAGTAGAGAGATTGGGCAGTAGCTTTCCTGGCAGAGGGACAGAATCGTTTGTTTTGAGGCAGGTCTGACCTGTGAGTCCAGGGCTGTCCAGAGAATAAGAATGCTGGCTCTAAGGGACATGGACATTCTGGTCAAATGAAGAACATTTTCATCCATGCTTTGATGAGACAGACCTCAAACTACTATCATACTACTGTGATACAATAGATGATGACTACTATGATATGATTTTTTTTCATTCCTAGACAATGTAGTATAATATAATCTCATATCAAAACTCAGGGTCTAAAACCTTCTCCCGTCTAAAGTGCTACCTTATCATAAAATAATGAAAGGTTTTAAGATTGCTAAGAAATGTAGGCTGGGTGCGGTGGCTCACGCCTGTAATCCCAGCACTTTGGGAGGCTGAGATGGGCAGATCACGAGGTCAGGAGATTGAGACCATCCTGGCTAACATGGTGAAACCCAGTCTCTACTAAAAATACAAAAAAAATTAGCCAGGCGTGGTGGCGGGCGCCTATAGTCTCAGCTACTCGGGAGGCTGAGGCAGGAGAATGGCGTGCACCCAGGAGGCGGAGCTTGCAGTGAGCGGAGATTGTGCCACTGCACTTCAGCCTGGGTGACAGAGCGAGACTCCATCTCAAAAAAAAAACAGAAATGTAATGCCCTACAAATTTATTATAATCATTTCTTGCCAAAGACATTTTCATTTATGCTGATACTTCAAATATAAGGACTTTTTAATTTCCTCTTTTTCCTAAATGCCATAAAAGTAATTGTAACTAATATGTTGGGCCATTAAGAAATTTTATTTACACAGGATAAAATTCCTTTATGAATGAACAAAATATTTTTTAATTGGATTACATTGTGGTCCAAAAGACCTTAAAAAATAAAAGAAGCTGAATGAGCTGAAACTAATTCTTGATCTATTTTCAGCCATCAATAGAACTATCGCAAAACTTTCAGGACATACTTATGGTGTCATAGGGAAGGCAGTCATTATTTTGTTTTCATAAGTTGGGTATTTTATTAAGTAAAAGCACTTTAAATCAGTGCTTTTGAAAGTGTGAATCATGATCATGACCATTAGTGAGTCATGAAGTTAGTGGATCAGACTGGCTTTTTTTTTTTTTTTTTTTTGAGACGGAGTTTCACTCTTGTTGCCCAGGCTGGTGTGCAATGGCGTGCTCTCAACTCACTGCAACCTCCACTTCTCCGGTTCAAGTGATTCTCCTGCCTCAACCTGCTGAATAGCTGGTATTACAGCGACACGCCACCGCGCCCAGCTAATTTTTGTTATTTTTAGTAGAGATGGGGTTTCACCATATTGGCCTGGCTGGTCTTCGAACTCCTGGCCTCCTGTGATCCGCCCACCTCAGCCTCCCAAAGTATTGGGATTACAGGTGTGAGCCACTGCTCCCAGTCTTTTTTTTTTGTTTAATGAACTAGAATGGAAGGGAAAAGAAAAGAGCATTGCAAGGTAAGTATTACCTTGCAAAAGAAAAGGTAAGTATTACTTCAAGTGGATGTGCCACATTGCTACATAAAATGCATTCCTATTGTAAGACTGTGGTCAAACTGGTTTAAAAAGCACTGGAATTCAGGCATGGTGGCTTATGCCTGTAATCCTGCCACTTTGGGAGGCCAAGGCAGGAGAAAGGACCACTTGAGAAGCTCAAGATCACTCTGGGCAGCATAGTGAGACTCTGTCTCTACAAAAAAAATAAAAATAAAAATATATAATAAGTAAAAATTAGTCTAGCATGGCGGCACACACCTGTAGTCCTAGCTACTCAGGAGGCTGAGGTGAATGAATTGCTTGAGCCCAGGAGGTCGAGCTGCAGTGAGACGTGACTGCACCACTGCACTCCAGCCTGGGTGATACAGCAGGACCCTGTCTCTAAACAATAATAATAATAATTGTTTTTTAAACATTTTAAAGCACTAGACTTTACATAATAGCCGGTACACTTCTTATTTTTAAGAAGTCTTAAATTATTCTATCCTCACCCCAGCGATTACTCTCCATTAACATTAGCCTTTAATAAGGTAAATTTAAAGTTAAATGTGCTGCTACCATGTGTTAGGCACTGTTCTAGGCCCTGAGGATGCAATGGTAATAAATTGGGATCCTAGCTCTCATACAGCTTCCATAAAGTTGGGAAGACAGAAGAAATATATGAAATACAGAGTCAAGTTGTTCTGCAAGCACCAGGAAAAGAAGAAGCATAATGGCAAGGCAATGACTCAGGTGCAATTTTATGTAGGATGGTCAAAGAAGGCATCATTGAGAAAGTGACATTTGAACAGAGTCCAATATTTAAGTTTTTAATCTAGCATTTTTAATGTTATTTTAAATTTAAGTGAACATTTTGATAAATAATAGCTAACAACTGCTGAGATTTAAAATTTTATAAACTATTTCATTCCCTATTATGATTCTTAACTTTTTGTTCATTTGCATATTTAGTCATTTACTCAACAAATATTTATTTTGTGCTCACCAAGGGCTGGCCACTGTACTGAGCCTTGGGGATTGAGCTGAGGAAAAGACAAACTTATTTCTTGCTCTTAGAAGTGTCTGGCCTCCTGAGGTGTACACTGAGGCAGGAGAATTGCTTGAATCCTGGAGGTGGATGTTTTTGTACACTGGTGTGTACAAAAAAAAAAAAAAAGAAAGAAAAGAAATAGGCAATTCCAAAGTCATAAGTGGGTCATGGGTTAAAACAGATTGCAGTTCCCTTCTTGGAAGATCAGAGAAGACTTCCTGGAGCAATAATGATTAAATTGAGATATAGAGGGTAAAATTAAATTAAATTTCAAATTTTTGCACACATCCGCATTTTAAATTTTAGTTGAGGCCATAGGCTTTTAGTGGTGCTTAATAAGAAACTTTGAGTTGTGAAAAAAGTACTTTTAACTTCACTAGATTAGTCATTACCCCCGATTTAAAAAATACAGAAGTTTAGAGAATGTTTACATGCTTGTTACCATTAAATTTACATTAAATCTATAATCATTCTGTATCTTGTAATCATAAACTTAGATTTCCCTCTATTTACTAAGAAGGGCAAAGAGTGTCCCTGTAATATTCAGAGGTATGTTTTTCCAGTTTGAAGGGCTGTTGATTTATAATCTGGAGACTGCAAATGTTCGTACCGCAGAACTGCAGTCTACACTGTCGAATGTTGTTGTAGAGAATCGTGTTTGTTCACTTGAGGTTGCAAACTGTGTTTGTCACACGAGGTTAAACTTGCTCACCAACCCCATGATAATTAACCAGCAAGGCCTCACTGGTGTTGTTATAATGAACTCAACCAGTATAAAGGCCTGTGGGTTTTCTTGACATAAGGAAAGTATTTGAAGCTTTTTCCTTGTATAGTTTATGCAAATAAAAATAAATAGGTAAGGCTAAGCCAATTAATTTCAAGCACAACCCCAAATCTCATTCTTCCGCAGAAGCTGGCACGCAAGGTGGAGCAGAAGAGTCTAGTTTTCTAGATCAAGGGAACCGAATACAGCAGAGGCCTCAAGGCCAAAACAGGCAGGTTTATTTCAGGAACTTGAAAGTAGTTCAGATGCGAAGCTTCCAGGTGAAGAGGGCAGGTTGAATAGATCATGTTATCTCTCTCCCTGACCCAAACTTAATCCACTAATGCAATGCCCTCCAAAGATGGCATTTCATAACTACCACCACCCAATTTTTGTCCAAAAGCATTTATCACTCTCTAATATACTATATATTTTATTTCGTTATTTTCTGCCCCCAACCCATTCCCACGGCCATTAGAATATAAGCTGATGGAGTATAGTAATTTTGCCTATTTTCCTTACTAAAGCTCCAGATTGAGGATGGGGGAGTAAAGACTGATTGGAAGTTCAAAGCTGAGGCTTATTAATTTTGACCTTTACTCTAGGTCCAAGGTGCTTTGGGTAGACTATTTTTTGACTCCCCTCATCCCCACCCTTAACCTCCATGTCAGTATTTAAAAGTATTTCCCTTTGGGCTGGTTGGAAATTTCCCAGAGAAGAGTCTTCCAGCCTCTTGCCTGGAGGGTAAGGTCTGGGAAACTGTCAGATTCTGGGAGCTGAGTGGGAGACAGGTCTGGAGTACCTGCATCATGGGCATTAAAATGCAAGCAGCCGCTACACCTATGCTTTCCACAGAGGGTACCATTCCTTCACCTATGTCTGGTATCTCTCACTCCAGAGACTCTATTTTGCCCTCTCTAGAAGATAAACCTCCAGTCTTCAAGGGGCTATAGCCTCAGCCACCCAGTGATCTGGAGTGGGGCAAGAGGTGAGAGAGTCCAGAACTCCAGAACATAAAAGCCAGTCTGCCTGCCTTCCTGGGAGGGTAAAGGAGAAAATCACCTTTCCTTATTTCATTGATGACTCTGATCCAACAGTGAACTAGTTCCAAGTATATTTCTATTTTAAATTATTAATCTACACCCTGTCACATTAGCTAACGCCAATGAAACCCAGGGAAGCTCATTGCTTTATGATCCATTAAAAGAAAAGAGCTCCACCTGCCTTCATAAACATTTGTTCTCTTTTTGATGTGCTTTTTAGGGCATACTAAATAAGAGGCCCATGATAAGACATTAAATGTTAAGCTAAGCATTGACCTAAAGTCTGAATCTGGGTTCCCAATGTGGGGAGAAGAGTTTGGGTTTAAATGTTTGACATATTACACTTGTACAACATTCTTGTAGCACTTTGACAAGTATACTAATTATATTTCTGATGGCATTATGAAAAATTTGTATTATCTGTGTTTAAGGAAATATTTGTGAATTTGAGGAGGGTAGCTCATTCTCCCCACCCCCATAACCCAGGTTTCCAAACCTTCTCTGAGGAGGTCAGAGGAATTAGAAAAGAAACCTAGGGCTGGGCACAGAGCTCACACCTGTAATCCCAGCATTTTGGGAAACTAAGATGGGCAGATTGCTTGAGCCCAGAAGTTCAAGACCAGCCTGGGCAATAAGGCAAAACTCCATCTTTACAAAAAATACAAAAATTAGCCGGGCATGGTGGTGAGTGCCTGTAGACCCAGCTATTCAGGAAGGCTGAGGCGGAAGGATCACCTGAGCCCACGGAGGTCAAAGCTACATTGAGCCATGATCATGCCACTGCACTCCAGCCTGGGTGACAGAAACCTTGTCTCAAAAAAATAAAAATAAAAAAGAAACCCATTTACTTGACAATTTGCCTGGGGATGTTTCTGCACAGCCTCAACCTTTGCTCAGCCCTGGTCCTAAGATCTCTTTTGAAGAGGTCCCATCTGAACTAAAAGTCTACTCAAGTCTTTCACTACTTAAGGTCCAGGACTTCAGCTAAGGACACCTGTTATGAGGTGAAAGTATTCATAGCTTCAACTGAAAAAAGTTCTAAGTCTTTCGGAGAAGCTCTTAAATACCAGTAGATATTAATGTTGCTCTGTTTCCTATCACAGTGACAGTCTACATGACGCTGCACCTTACTGCACCACCCCGTACTCACCCAGGGAAGCAGCAGAAGTCAGAATATTAGTCATTAGCTTCAGCAGACTTATTATTAACTTTTCTACATGGCCTTTCAGACTCAGGAGCAAATTTATGTCCAAGTTAGCTCAGTTCAAGACATAGAAGCAAAAAGCTGATTATTTGTCCTGTCTTCTCTTTCTATCTATGCTTCCAACTTCTGCTAGTCCCCTTCAACAGTCTGGCTGATAATGGTTAGGCCCCATTCATCAACTCAAATATTAAGATATGGCTGTTCACTTACCTAAGTCTATAATATGCTCCACATGGATCTCTGGCTTCAGACATCCCCTCTCTTTCTTCTTCATCCTTCTACTCCAGATGAACTACACCTTCTCTTCTTATTAATATTTAGGACAGGAGCTGTCTTATGTAGGATAGGCCTTACTTATTTCCTTTACACAAGGCAAGCAGAAGCCTCACATATGACTGAAGTCACATGTATTTCTGATTAAAGAAAATGAGGTAAAGGGAAAAGGAAGCAAAGGAACTCACAGGAACACTGGAGTTCCATAACACAGCATATTCAGTATGTTTATGAAAAGTTTATGGACTCCATTAACTCTAGCATATGTATACAAAGATTTCATTTGATGAACTTCATTGATCCATGAAGTCATATCAGCAAGAAAACTGTCCTTCAAGATCAATTCCTTCTTTGCTGGACCTTCCACTAATTCTCCTGGTTCCAAGCTACCAAGTTGCAAATGAGTTGCAATGACAAGTGAAGATCACTATTTAGCCAGCATTTGCAGATGGGGATTCTGGAACTCTCAGATAGATGAAGACACCCTTCTGAAATAATGGTCGATTATTTACTTAATGCTGGTTTAACTTGCTTTTTTAACCTGGCAGCCAAAACACAGTCTGCTGTTGGTAACAATGGAGAAATTTTATTCAGTAGAATTCCTTTTAGAGAGAGCACTGCACTTGTTTCAAATTAATGTCTTGATAAGACATTTTGGGAGTATTTTTAAAAAGCCTAACAACCCAAGTGTCCATCAATGGATGAATGGATAAACAAAATGTGGTGAAGGGAACCAGAATATGACACCCCAAAATATGCCACTTTGGCATAAGAATTATTTTGAGCTGAAGACAATCAAGAAACAGCAGACAGAAAACAAAAAACAAACAAACAAACAAACAAAAACTCTCTGCCCTCCCCCTATCTGGCTAAAAGCAGGACATGACTTTCCATTTTTAATGGAAAAACCAAAGTCTGCAAAACAGTTTAAAGAGATTTTTCAGAGCCAACATGAAGGGCCATGACCTGGAGAAAAACAACCTTAAGTGGTCTTGAGAAAGTGCGCTCATGGCCAGGCACAGTGGCTCACACCTGTAATCTCAGCACTTTGGGAGGCCAAAGCAGGTGGATCACTTGAGGTGAGGAGTTCAAGACCAGCCTGGCAAACATGGTGAAACACTGTCTATACTAAAAATGCAAAAATTAGTTGGGCATGGTGGTGGGCACCTGTAGTCCCAGCTACTCGGGAGGCTGAGGCATGAGAATCACTTGAACCCCGGAGGTAGAGGCTGCAGTGAGCCGAGATCATTCCACAGCACTCCAGCCTGGGCAACAGAGGGAGACTATGTCAAAAAAAAAAAAAAAAAAATCAGAGAAAGTGTGTCCAAAGCAGTCGGGTTATAGTTTGGTTGTATACATTTCAAGGAGATAGGAATTACAGCTAAAGACATAAATCACTTTATGGAAGACAATATCGGTTCAGCCCAAAAAGGCAGGACATCCTGAGGTGGGGAGAAGAGCACTTACAAGTCATAGGTGGGTTTTGGGGATTCTTTAGTTGGAAATTGGTTGAAAAAATTAAGCTTTGTCTAAAGATTTGAAGTCGGTAGAAAGGAATGTTTAAGTTAAGGAGGTTCATTACCCAATACACTGGGTCAGAGTGACCTGTAGGGATGTGACTTAACCCTTGTCTGGCATGGTCATAGGTCCTGTTTACAATTTGGTATCTTACTGTCACAAAGAGTCTGTTTTGTCAGTCTTATGATCTCTATTTTAACATTAATACTGGTCAGTTGTGCCTAAACTCCAGAAGGGAGGGAGTATAAAAAAGTGTGTTCAACCTCACTTGCTGTCATGGTTGGAAATTCAGTTCTTAAGGTTTTTTGTGTCTCCATGGCCAAGAAGGATCTGTTCAGTCAGTGTGGGCTTAGGATTTTATTTTTAGGTTATGCGTTTATAAAGGTGTCCTCTCCCTTGCCAAGGAAGAGAACAACTCTTAATGCAATCACCTGATGGATTTGGTCTACCCTCTGCACAGACAAATCCAATTTACTGAGATTGTGGTATTGCAGTAAAGAAAGAGTTTAATTAACACTAGGCTGGCCACATGGAAGATGGAGTTATTACTCAAATCAGTCTTCCTGAAGGCTTGGAGGTTAGGGTTTCTTAAGGATACCTTGGTGGGTAGGGGACTAGGGAATACGTGTTGCTGACTGACTGAGGATACAATCATAGGGTTGTGGAAGATGGTCCTCATGCACTGAGTCTGCCTCTGGGTGGGGGCCATGGGACCGGCTGAGTCATGAGTCAGTAGCGTCGGTCAGTGGCCAAAATGCAAAAGTCTGAAAAACATCTCAAAAGATCAATCTTAAGTTCTACAATCATAATGTTATCTATAGGAGCAATAGGGGAAGTCACAAATCTTGTGACCTCTGGCCACATGACTCCTGAGTAGTAAGGGATTATAGAAACTATATTTTAGCAGAATTTAGGCCACTCCCATAGTTCTAATCTTGCGGTCTTTCATCAGTTTTACAAAGGTGGTTTCAGCTCCTGAACAAGGAGGGGATCAGTTTTAGGGAGGGATTGTCATCCTTGCTTCCACATTAAACTAGAAACTAAATCCCTTCCATGGTTAGCTTCCTATGCCCAGGAATGCGTGAAGACAGCCAGTCTGTGAGGCTAGAAGCAAGATGGAGTTGGTCATGTTAGACTCCTCTTGCTGTCATAATCTTCGCAAAGGTGGTTTCATTAATCATCGGGACTCTTCATCACTGGAGATGACTCTAGATTCTTTTCAGCCCAAAGACCTGGAGAGGAATGTATATAACAAACCTTACTAAACCACCCTTTTCTTCTATTTATTTCCCTATATATTTCCTTCCCACAAGTTACCACCATTAGGAATCCCCCTTTTCCTTTGTCTTGTCAATCTCTGCAATGTATCAAATGTATCACTGTTTGTCAAAATGCTGTGTCACCTCTTAGGTCTAACTGCTTCTCTGCCCCTTCACTTTTCTAGGAAGGCCCCTGTATATATACATGATAAACCTTTCCTCCTGCTAATCTGTCTTTTGTCAGTCTAATTTGCAGGGCCCCAGATACTGAACCTAAGAAGGTAAAGGAAAACATTTTTTTCTTCCCCCACAGTGGTATATGCATACCATGAACTATTATTACTTAGCATTTCAAAGGATGGAAATTCTGACATATGCTATACTATGCATGAACCTTGTGGACATTATGCTAAGTGAAATAAGCCAGTTACAATAAGATGAATACTATAAAATTCCACTGGTGGGAGTGTCTAAAATAGTCAAATTTATAGGGACAGAAAGTAGAATGGTGGTTGTCAGGCACTAGGGGGATGGGGAAATGAGAAGTTGTGTAATAGCCATAGAAGTTCAGTTTTGCAAGGCGAGAATGTTCTGGAGATTAGTTATCTAGGGGCCAAGGGAAAAGTTCCCCTTCTCCCTATGAAGTTTCACTGAAAAATCAACTCACAAAAGGCAGACTAGTAGGAGAAATAACATACAAATGCATTTAATGTGTACATGGGAACCTTCAGAATGAAGACAGAGGAAAGTGCACATTTTTATGCTTAGGTTCAAAAAGTATGTAGAGCTGTTTAGAAATATGACTGGACAAAAGGGTATGATGTAACTTTAACAGATGGAGTGAGGAAACCCAGCAAGGCCTGTCTGTCTAGATTCTTCTTGGCCTCTCTGAGCAGCATTTCTTCCTTCTGCGTATGGGACAGGACCCTTTCTGGAATGGGGGTCTTATGACCTACAATCAAACAAGGTAGGTCCGATCATTTCCTTATGACCAGTTTTTATACAGAATGTAAACCAAAAGTATATGAGACAGGTCCCGATCAATGTAGAAAGTTTACTTTGCCAAGGTTAAGGACACACCCATGACACAGCCTCAAGAGGCCCTGCCTATGTGCCTAAGGTGGTCAGGCCACGACTTTGTTTTATACATTTTAGGGAAACATGAGACATCAATCAATACATGTAAGATGTACATTGGTTTGGTCCAGAAAGGTGGGACCACTCAAAGTGGGGACTTCCAGGTCACAGGGAGATTTAAAGATTTTCTGATTTGCAATTGGTTGAAAGAGTTATTATCAATAGAAAGGAATGTCTGGGTTATGATAAAGGATTGTGGAGACGAAGGTTTTATCGTGCAGGTTAAGCCTTCAGAGAGAACAGATTGTAAATGTTTCTTATCAGACTTAAGGAGTCTGTTCTATCAACAATTCTAAAAGGAAGAGGGTACAATGAGGCATGTCTGGCTCCCCCTTCCCATCATGGCCTGAGCTTGTTTTTCAGGTTAACTTTGGGATGCCCTTGCCAAGAGGAGGAGTCTGTTCAGATGGTTGGAGTACTTAGAATTTTATTTTTGGTTTACAAGAAAGGCGGATGAAAAGTTTGATAATATTTTTAGGTTTTATAGCTGGCTTTCGGGAAAAGGGGTTCTGGTTTCTAGGACCCACGTGGGGAAGAGGGATTCTAGTTTCTATGGCTGCCCTCGGGGAAGAGTGGGACTGAGAGACAGGAGGCGAGCAGGAGAAGGTCAGAGAAAACCTTTTGCTTCTCAGGCTGCTTCTGAGGCCTTCATTTTAGGGTGTTGTTTTCCATGTCCCAACAGTGACACAACAGTGTGAATGTACTTAAAACTACTGAACTGTAGGTTTAAAAATGGTTATGATGGTAAATTCTGTGTTATGTGTGTATTATCACACTTGGTTTTTTTTTTTTTTTTTTTGAGATGGAGTCTCGCTCTGTCGCCCAGGCTGGAGTGCAGTGGCGCTATCTTGGCTCACTGCAAGCTCCGCCTCCCAGGTTCACGCCATTCTCCTGCCTCAGCCTCCTGAGTAGCTGAGACTACAGGCGCCCACCACCGTGCCCGGCTAATTTTTTGTATTTTCAGTGGAGACAGGGTTTCACCGCGTTAGCCAGGATGGTCTCGACCTGCTGACCTCGTGATCCGCCCGCCTTGGCCTCCCAAAGTGCTGGGATTACAGACATGAGCCACCACGCCCGGCCATTATTACCACAGTTTTTTAAAACCTATTTTAAAAAGACCACGAAACACTTTAAACATTAAAAATAATCAAATATTTTTTTAATTGCTTATTTAAATAGACTTATGATGGCTTTTCAACCTACACAGTTGTTGAGTTTTTTGTTGTTGTTTGTCTGTTTGTTTATTTAGTAGAGATGGGGGTTCACCCTGTTGGCCAGGCTGGTCTCGAACTCCTGACCTCAAGTGATCCACCTGCCTCTGCCTCCCAAAGTGCTGGGATTACAAGTGCGAGCCACCATGCCTGGCTCATTCAACTTATACAGTTGTTTTTAAAATAAAAAATACATAAGCCAGGCACAGTGTTGCACACCTGTAGTCCTGATTACTCAGAGGTTGAGGTGGGAAGATTGCTTGAGCCCAGGAGTTCAAGGTCAACCTGGGCAACATGGTGAAACCTCTTCTCTAAAATAAAATATATGTAATAAAAAATTTAGGCTGGGCACTGTGTCTTGCATCTGTAATCCCAGCACTCTGGGAGACCCAAGGCAGGTGGACCACTCGAGCCCAGGAGTTCAAGACCAGCCTGGGCAACATGGCAAAACTCCATCTTTACAAAAAACACAAAATTAGCCAGGCATGGGGGCATGTGCCTGCAGTCCCAGCTACTTGGGAGGCTAAGGCAGGAGGATCGCTTGAGCTCACTGGAGGTTGCAGTGAGCTGAGATCACACCACTGCACTCCAGCCTGGGTGACAGAGCAAGACTCTGTCTCAAAAAAAAATTTTTTTAAGACTATAGGTATTTTCATTATTTTTCTCATGACTCTTCTCATCCTTCTGATATTTGTACCTCAATCCTCAGACCACTGTCCCTGTCTATTCTATTTGGGTAACAACCAGTAAGTGGACATTTACAAATTTCCTAGTTTTTACTGGGGATGACAGTCCCCAATGCTAAGTTGCATCGCCTTTTACCTGCCTGACTGGTATACTAAAAAATCAACTCTCAGTTGTTATAGGTAATCATCATGATTAATAGAAAATATGTTACTCTTTTCACCTGTTCTGCAGATAGGACAAAGTAGGTGCAGAATCGTTAATTCACCTGAACAAGTCATAGCAAAGGTCTCAAATGAGGGCTTGTGCAGGGTCAGCTTTCTGGGCTTGAGACCTGTACAGTCACATAGGTTGCCACATTTAGAGGAGCTCCATGCTTGTTTGATGTTCTCTGTTATCATCTTGACATTTTTAATATATATATATTTTAACAAAAGGCCCCATATTTCCTTTTTGCACTGGGCCCTGCGAATTATCTTGCTGGTCCAGGACTTAGGTCACTGATCTCAAAATATGATGTTCTAGGCTCAGCAGTGGGAAGGGTCGTACAAGTAAAGAAGCATTATCCCTTTTATTCAAGATTCAGCGTAGCTATTTTATACACAATGGTCATACTGATTTTGCTGTAGAGCACTGCAATACTAACACTAGAATCCACCATTTAAAAGGGAAGCTAGAGCCCTCAATAGTTACATCCACGTTTCAGAGAGAAATCCCCACAAAGACGGATATAATTTTCTCATAAATATTTACAAGTTTTAAATAGTTGGATGTTAGTCACCCCATTTATCTTGGTGTTTCCTTGTGAATGAAGCCCATCCAACGTCGACATCGTATTGAGAAAAATCTGTGAAGCTAATGAAGAAAGAAGAATCAAGAGTGCCAAAAATAAATGTTTCCATCCTGAGCCAAAGAATGAATCACTTGTGCATTCATATGTTATAGAAAATGTGATTCCTTTTTTCCAGTTTTACAAGGCCAACACCTATCAGCAACACAAATTCTGACTTTTACTGACTTAGACTAGGTCTCAAAAGCCATAAAAAGGCCGTTCATGGAAATGAACAAAGAATGTATTTGTATCTTTATCTGAGAAGTCATGCCAGAATCCCTTTCAAATCAGCAGGGTAACATTTGGTTTTACATTTGTATGTTTTAGTGAGTTTTATAAACCCTGAAGCTAACCGATTTTTCTTGTAAAGTAGAGAAGTAAACTGATTTTGGGAGAGACGCCTGGGGATATAGCAGAGCTGAAATGTTTGTGCCTTGTTTATTAAACATGATCATCCTCACCAGAAATTACCATAGCATCAGGTTTCCCAGAAGGTTCTGAGGGCCAGAGTTTGTGCTTCACTTCTTCCTTATTCCTAAGGCAACTAACACGATGCTAGCATGTGAGAAGCACCCAGCAAACCCTCTCTTCACCCTCTCTCCAATTTTGGCCTCTCGTGGGAAAACCCCCTCCTTGCCCATGATGTTTCACCCACATCTGTCTTGACTGGGCAATGCCCCCATGCAGCCAACTTTTCATATTCTCTCTTTCACACTTTCATTATAATGTATTTGTCCTTGGTCCAACTGCCTTTGATTTCTAAGATAAAAATGATTTGAAAACTAACTCAGTCTTAAGTTTTGAAGAATTAACAGCGTAGTACAAGACCTCTGTTCTCCTTTAGGTAATTTTTTTTTTTACAATAACAATGATATTTTAAGGCAGTGGCCACTGGAATTAATCTAAAAGTTGAAATGTCTTATTAGGCAATGGGGATTTTGAAACACTTCTGAGTCTCATCATTTAGGTTGCAGTCTATGGAGAGGACTGGCTCTTTCTAAAAGATATTCATTCATTCATTTAATCATCAAACATATCCTGAAGACTTACTCTGTGCCAGGGACTGCTGTGGGTGCTGGGATGCAACACTGAACGGGATGACCAGGACCCTATTCTCATGGCATTCACATTCTGAGGTGGCAGGAATGTATAAATAAGGAGAAAATATGTAATAATAGTAAATGGTATGACGAAGATAAGACAGAGATGTGCAAGGAAATGACAGCTGGGGTGCAGGAACTGGGGGCTACATCTAAGTGGTCAAAGGTCTCTCAAAGAGGATGGCATTGAAGTTGAAACCCGAATAAGAAGGAACCAGACATGGGACGACTTAGGAGAAGAATGTGTCTGGCACAGGGCAGAGCTTGTGCAAAGGCCCTTGGGTGAGAGGCAGATCTGTGTGTTCAGGGCACGTGTGGCTATAACATAGTGTTACCAAGGGATGAGAGGCAGGCGGGGATAGTTCATATAGCGTCTCAGAGGCCAGGAAGGAAGAGGCTTTGGGTTTGATTCTGAGTGTGACTAGAAGCCCCTGGAGTGAAAAGAACATGTTCTGATTATGTTTTAAAACACCCCTCTGGCATTTGAGCTATAACTAGACTACAGGTGCCAGAGAGGAAGCAGGGAGGGGATTAGGAGAGAAACGATGGTATCTCGGACCAAGATGGCAGCAGTGGAGGTGTCACAAACAGCATTAGGAGGTATCTTGGTGATGGAGTTAACAGAACTTCCTGATGTATTGCATTGGTTGGGGTGGGTGGAGAGTCAAAGACTCCTGGGGTTTTGGTTTGAGTAACAGTGTAAGGTGGTTTCATTTCCTGCGACAGAAAAGCTGGGGGTGGAGGGGACTGAGTGGAAGGGGTTTGAGGGGAAAATTAAAAAAGGCATTTAAAAATCCCCTTTTTAAGTCAGGAAACAACAGAAGCTGGAGAGGATGTGAAGAAATAGGAATGCTTTTATACTGTTGGTGGGAGTGTAAATTAGTTCAACCATTGTGAAAGACAGTGTGGCAATTCCTCAAGGATCTAGAACTAGAAGTACCATTTGACCCAGCCATCCCATTACTGGGTATATATCCAAAGGATTATAAATCATGCTACTATAAAGACACATGCACACATATGTTTATTGCGGCACTATTCACAATAGCAAAGACTTGGAACCAACCCAAATGTCCATCAATAATAGACTGGATTAAGAAAATGTGGCACATGTATACCATGGAATACTTTGCAGCCATAAAAAAGGATGAGTTTTTGTCCTTTGCAGGGACATGGATGAAGCTGGAAACTATCATTCTCAGCAAACTATCACAAGGACAGAAAACCAAACACCACATGTTCTCACTCATAGGTGGGAACTGAACAATGAGAACACTTGGACACAGGGCGGGGAACATCACACACTGGGGCCTGTCAGGGGGTGGGTGGCTGGGGGAGGGACAGCATTAGGAGAAATACCTAATGTAAATGATGAGTTGATGGGTGCAGCAAACCAACATGGCACATATATACCTATGTAACAAACCTGCACATTGTGCACATGTACCCTAGAACTTAAAGTATAATAATAATAATAATAATCCCCTTTTTAGTATCTAACATCCAATTAAAAGAGGAGTCATGGCTCAATCCTCAAGAAAGAAACATGATTATATGGAGTCTTTGCCTTATGTGGACACAGTATGCATTTTGGAAGGAAAAGTCAGTCTTCTGGGAAAGTGTGGAAAATCCAAATTGGACAGAACTCATTGAAAAAGGCAAGATTTCAGTCACTGGAGCTGTATTTCTCAACTGCATTTTGGAAACTTTTGCCAGCACATTCTTAAGACAGGGAGCTCAGAAGGGAATTTGAATCATGGAGATGCTACTAAAGGAACAGTATGGTGCCCCCTTAGCTGAATAAAGAATCACCAGAGAGCTGTGTCCATGACCACTTTTTTTTTTTTTTTCTGAGAATCACTGCTTGGTCACAGCACATCACAGACACCATTTCTGGAATACAGGTTTGAGGATACCATGTCAGCAGCTTCAAGAAGAGACCTTCTTGCCAGGACACAAAATGATGCTCTCCTCTGGGAACCTGCTTTGAATAGTGGGATTCAAGGACATGAGACCTTCTTGCTGGATTTTTATGATACAATCTCTACGATTTTACAAATAAAGGAATAAAACCCAGATAAGATGATGTCTACCCTTCCTCGGGGTGGTCTGCTGATTGTCTGGTGATGGCGTCAGGGCAGCCAAAGACAGGATAAAGGCCGAGGAGGGTGTTTGTGCCCTTATGTTATTAGCACCATTGTTCATAGGACTTGTGAGAGGATTCTGGAACCAATAAAGGGGTAGAAACAGTACCTGATTCATAGGTGAACTGGAACAAACAGGAATTTACCAGACCTGTGTTGAAGCTAAGCCATATTTATCGCAATGTTTAAGATTCTCAGAAATCACATTTTATGTCTATCCATAAGTAAAATGGAACTGCCATTAATAGAGCTTTTACAACGTAACATGTGAACTGTGATTTGGTGCTCTGAAAAAACACGGAAGAGTGGGAAGGAAGGTTCTAACCTTGGCTCCTGATAACTTGTTCTATGTGTGGAGCAAATCATTAACCTGTCTGTTTTTTACTGGGCAAATGGGGATAATCAAGCACAGGTCCTTCGGCCAATGGGTTGTGATGATTAAACAAGGTAATTTTGTGCAAGGAGTCCAGGTTTTGGAGTCAGACAGACCTAGGTTTGAATCCAAGTGCTGGTGATGGCAGCAGTGGCCTGTGTGGAGTGGCTGCTGCCATGATGCCAGCTGTAGTGGGGGAGGCGTGGCTGGGGCAGCAGGCTCCATGGAGCCAGTGGGAGCCGGGAACAGACCCTTCCAAGTTGGCGGGATGGGATCCCTGCCCTCCTGGGTGCAGCTGCAGCTGCCCAGCCCTGGCTACAGACCCTGGCATCCCTGCACTCTTGGGGCCCAGGAATTCCCCCTGCCCCTGCAGACTCAGAGGTGACTGCTCCCACTGTCTAACCTCTCCCTGCTCCTGGCACCTGCTCCGATTTTGGAGCAAACTGTGGCCAAACCTGGGTGCTGACATGACTTGGCCAAGTGTGCATGCTCTGAGGCACTGACATGCCAGCACCCTGCCACCTAGGACCCCTCCACACTTTGGGCACTGACGAGCATGGAAAGCAGTGTAGGCCTGCAGGAGCCCCTTAGCAGGAACAGCCTGGGCACTGTGGGTGCCGTGGAGGGCAGGTTGATGGTGGCAGGAGGCAGACAGGCTCCTGGGTGGAAAGGGGCAGGTACTCAGTGAAGCCCCACCTCCAAGCTGGGGACGGCCTGAAGCCTGGGGGCTCGGCTTTCAGTTCTGCAGACTGGAATGAGAACTTATGGTGCTTTTTCTTGGACACCCATGGCCACCCATGGACCAATCCATACACACTTTCTCCCCTCTAAAGCCTGTATAAACCCCAGACTCAGCCAGACTCAGGCAGACATGGGATGACCTGCCTGAGGATAGGAGCTACCTGCTCTGGGTCTCCTCTCAGCTGAGGGCTGCACAGACCTCAGGACAACCTGTCTGCGGATAGGAGCTACCCACTTTGGGCCTCCTCAAGAACTGTTCTGCTGCTCAGTGAAGCTCCTCTCTCCCTTGCTCATCCTCCAGTTGTTTGAGTACCTCATTCTTTCTGGATGCAGCACAAGAACTCAGGACCCACCAAGTGGCAGGACTAAAAGAGGTATAAATTAAACAGGGCTGAAACATGCCCCCCCCACCCCCACACACACTCACCATGTTGTAAGCAACAAGAAGAAGAGAAGAGCTGCGGCCCTTTGGGGAGCACAGACCTGGGGGCTCCTGAACCCAGGGCTGTGACACCCACGGTTCTGTGGTCCTGGCATTTCTAAGCTTCCATTGACTGGACTTCTACTACGCACCAGGCAGCATGCTGAGTACTTTGTTTTACAAATTTTTTTAAATGAGCTTCGTAAAGATTTAAAATTATATCCACAATCACTAAGCGAGTAGGTGTCAGTGTCCTGGGATCCTTAGGGGTGTCACTTTTCCAGCTGGAAGCCTCTGTGGCTGGCGGCACCTTTGCCTGAGTTTTACTCGGGCCTCCTGGGCTCGTTCTGCCCACTCGGCCCAGCAGGCTGTGCTCAGCTTGTGCTACTGGCCCGGATTCCACACCTGCCAAACATGAGCCAGATGTGGAGCAGCAAGGGGTGTGTGGGCAAGCAAGCGCAGGGTCCAGCCACTGCACACAGCCAGGCATGCAGGCTGCTACTGCAGGGCAGGCAGCTCCAGGCACCAGCACAGGTGCTGGCTCCATGTGAGGCTGTGGCTGGACCAGACGTACTGCACATGGCTTCTGCTGCAGACACCTGTGTCTGGATGAGGGGACTTTTCATCTGTACTTTTCAACTGTAATGTAAGGTGGTATTACTGTTTGAAAATTAGATGGCAGTAGTTTGCATTTCTCATGATCAGAAGCCAAGATATAAACACACACTACCTAAGAAAGCTAAAAAAAAATTGCTTTTTTAAAATGTTGAGTTTGAGAGGCCTATTAAACATCCAAGTAGAAATGTCAAGTGAGCATTGAGATATGTCAATCTGGGGCACAGAGGAGAGGTCAGGGATGAAAATTGAAATCAGGGGTCACTGGCACATAGATGGGAGTTAAAGCCAAGGGGCTGGATGAGATTATCTAAGGAGAGGGGTACACAGAGAAGGCAAAGAGCCAAGAAGGCCCTCACTTGGGGAAGGAGAGAAGTCAGCAAAGGAGCCTGAGAGAGATAAAAATCCAGACTGTGTGTGTCTCAGAAGCCAAGAGAGGGTAGTGCTTCAAGGAGAGGGAGTGTAAACTATGCCCAGTACTGATGAGAGGCTGCCGCAGAGGCAGACAAAATACGTGCTCCTTGGAGGTCTTTGGCAACCTTTATAGGGCAGTTTCAGAGAGATGGGAACAGAGTGAGGGGACTGAAGGAATGTATGTCATACGCTTCCAGGTTGGGCAATACCCCCAAAGCCATGCTAGACTAGCAGTATATGATGTTCTTAAAAGTTTTTATTTATTTTTCTAAATGATGTGGCACAGAGAAAATACACAACAAAAACATTTCATGACATTTCTATCACCACCTACAAAGCTGGTAAATCTTGAAATGCCATGAAGGAGCTCCTAAATTAACCAGCATGAATAACTTTATGGGGTGGCTCTCCAAGACATCATGAAGGAATAACTAATAAAAGCAATTGTAAAAAAAGCCTAACAAAAATAGAAAATCTGGCTGGGAATAACTCACGCCTGATGGATTTCTATGTTGTAATGCTGACAAAGCCACCATAAACACACAGCAACGACTTCTGTGGTGAAGGCATTGATATTATAACCCATCCCACAACTAGCAAAACATTTGTCTAGAATTGTGACAGACTTTTATTTCACTTGTCACAAAGTGCAACTGGAATCATATCATGTTCCATTTGATTCAACGAATATTTTTATTGAGCAGATAGTAAACAGAAGAGGCTGTGCCTGCCACTGAAGGAGACACACAGATGAGTCACAAGTAGCCCTTGTCACCAACAAGAACTCTCTCTGCCTCCAGGCTGCACCACCATCAGGGCAGGGACTGAGCTTGTCTGGATTGCCACTGTTACATAGCACCTGGGCAGAGAAGGCACTCATGGGGCAATGTTTGTGAATGAATAAATGAATTCAAAACAGAGAATGATAAGTATATCAAGTACATAGTAGGTATTTTGTAAATTATGGAATAAACATCTTAGAAGATGTTACAAAATAAGGAAAAAATAAATACAGGGATATAGGACTGTCAGAAAAGATTATTGAAGAGATTGTGGCTTCTGAAATAGGCCCTGAAAGCTAGATAGAATTCCAACAGAAGAGTCAGGAGGAAGAATATTCCATGCACGGAAATATGAAAGAACTGCTGCTGTAAGATTTTTAACCACAAAAGGAAATCCTTGGGTTCTTCCATTCCTGCTTAAAAAAAAAAAGAGAGAGAAAAAACATACCTGCTGAAGGAGGCTCACCGTTACCGGGGCACGTGAAGTGTACTACCTTGAGCTCCTTTCTAATATCGAGCCAAGTATTCCGTAGGAGCAATGGGTATGAATGTCCCGTGCTGGCTCCCACAGTTATAACTTACATGGAAGGCTGTTCTCTGTGAACCAGTACCTGCCTTCCTGGCCTGACATTACCTTCTTGGGAAACAGTGATTTTGGTTAGGTCACCTGTAAATTTTGGATGAAAATATCCTACCATTCACCCTTAGCCAGAATCACACAGATAGGCCAGGGTGTAACATAGGCAACAGAGCTCAAGCCTCATGTTCTCCAGATCCACCTGTAGGCACAGGGGAGGGATACATGGTTGGCCACAAAGGGTTTCTCTTTCTACTTACTTCTGTGAAGAAACTCAGGCGGGCATCAAAGACATCTGCAGAACCAATCAACAAAATGAAACCTCCATGGAATCATGCCCTGTCCTCCATCTTCCCAACAATTTGGAGAAGACAGAGATCCTGTGGGAGGCATGAAAAGATTATAAATAAGACATACAAGGGGAAAGTCTCTATCTCTTCTCTCTTTAGCTGGTGCTGTACCTCAGAAATGTCCCAGATAGGTGCTGGGATGAGGGGAGGGAGGTGGGCAGAGCCAGCTTCATAGGTGTGGGGCCTGCCCGATCACTCAGAGCCCTCTGCTTAGAAGGGTCCCATGCTTTTAGTGCACTGCTGTCCCCATCTTGAAATTTTTAATAATTTCATTTTGCACTGGGTCCCACAGATCATGTAGCCCGTCCTGGAGATGGGGGGCTGGCAAGACATAGCCTTCAGAGAAAAGAAAGTTCAGGCTAGACTCTCACCTGGGCTTTAAACTTCTCTTTCTCTGGCCAAGTACTCTCAATGCCAGAACAAAGTAACCTCATACTGGCTAACCTGGGTCTAAGGGAAGAGCAGGGACCAGCTCTCCCCAGTGGAGGCATTTCCTTGAAGGCCCATATTTTATCCTAAGCAAAAACCCAAAACATATTTGCATTCTGTTCTATGAAATATCTATTAGATACATTTTTAAAATAAGATAGGCTTTCCCTCAAAAAAGCAATCTTTAAGTAGCATTGATGCTTCAAGAGGATATACCCTTATTATCACTTGGATATGAAGTCCTTCTGGCCCCCAGATAATCTCAAATGCCATAGCACAACATGGCATAGCACAACATGTCCCGGAGAGGAGAGAGGAAACTCCAATTCAGCAAAAACCCACACACGGATTGCAGCTTCCTCCCTCCCCTCACATGGTTTCCCATGGCCTTCACTGGCACATTGTGTAACTGATGGCATCTGGCTCCTTCCTTTCTGCCCTTTGTCCTTTTCCTCTTCTTAGGAAGTCATGTTTACTTGCTAGAACACTGCCCTAAAATAGCCTTATATTTCCATTCCCAGTCCAGGGTGTGCTCACAGCCAGTCTAGGTTATTCCATGAGGCCCCCGGGCTCCTGGTTGCTCTGCTCCCTGGGCTCTGGCACCTCCCAGTTTCCATGCCTCCTCCCTGCTCTGGACATACGACCCACTCGCTGGTGGTGGGGGCTGGCACGGCCAGCACTTGGCATCTGCAATATGAACCCTAACGATGATGAGAACCTCCAGGCTTTCCCTTGCCTATCAGCTTTGCACACATAATACCCTCTTCCTAAAATGACAGAAGATTCCCATCTGTCCCTGGGGCTCAGTGTAGATGCCACTTCCTCTGGGAATCCTTCCTTGACATACTCCTCTCCCCTACTCACCACCAAGATGAAGCTAGTCCTCCCATCCTACTCCTTCTTTTCCTTGTAGGAATACTTACCACACTGTACTTACCACACTCTAGTTAACTTGCCTGTATCCCCAGCTAAACCCTAAGCATGATCAGGTCAGGGATATGCTTGCCTTGTTCTTCAATGTATTCCCAAAACCTGAAAGCCTCAAAAACATTGTTGAATGCTGTTGAAGTTTGAGCATTGTTAAGTGATTTTTATTTATTATATCACAACAATCCTAAAAGGAAAGGATTAGTGTTCTCATTTAACACTTGAGGAAAGTAAGGCTCGGAGAGGTTGAGTGAGTTTCCTAAGATCACACAGTTGTAAGTGGTACAGCCAGGCTGTCAGACTTTAAAGTCCATATGTTTCATTCCATGTTCCAAAATTCAATCAGAGAAGCAGAACCACTAGGAGTGATATAGACTAATGGATTTGTTTTAAGGATTGGACCTTATGCAATTGTGGGAGATCATTAAAAGCTCTATGCTATGGCTTCTGCACCCGGTGCTTGGGTCTGCAGTCTGCAGGGAAGGTAGTTGGCAAGGAAAGATGGACATGAAGTTGGAGAAGGTAAAGACAAACTGGAGCCTGTGGGGAAGAGCTGGGCCTCCAGACAGACTGGAACCCATGATGGTATCTCCCTACCTCCAGGCCTACCACTTCCACGTGAGGATCACTTTGAAGAACAGCGGCACCTTAGTCAGGAGTAAATACACACCTGGCCTGGGGGTCGCGGAAGCTGAAGGAGCAATCTGGCAGGCTCTATAAGGGCTGGTGGACCCAGCTGCTGCCTCATGCCTGTCAGGTGAGCCAGCAGAGAAGCAACAATGTATGTGAGCTACAGTGGCTCTAATGCCCTGGACTGACCTTCTGAGCATAAAAAGAATAGGCACTTAACTCCCACCTTCCAAATCTTGGACAAAGCTTCTGCTGTGGCCCAATCAATCCACAACCATGCTGGGAAAAAAATTCAGGGAAACCCAGTTCCAGTTTAGCTAAATTGATACAATATAAATCTATTTCCCTTTCTCTCCTACTTGCTTTACTGTTACAAATTACAAAATAAGATTTCCATTTCCTGAAACCCAAGATTTATAACACTAATATATAACATAATGTAGTATATTAATTATTTCCTACCTTTTTCAATACCCTGTTGGCGCGCATTGGGCGAATGAAGATATACCTTAGTGGTATATCTTCTTGAAGCATCAATGCTACTTTATATTAATTATTTACCACCTTTCAAAACCTTTTTCTACACAGCAGTTATTCACCTTCTTTTAGAACATGCACCTTAATTTCCCTCTGAGGAACCAGCCCTGCCTCCACTCTTAGTCAATATGGTTTAGGTGTAGCTGTCTGCCCCCTCACTCCAGGCATGAGCACGTGAACAAGGCCCAAGCACACTGCATCCTCTGGCCTCAGAGGATGGCTCAGGCACAGGTGCATAATCTTCATTCGCCCAATGCAAGCCAACAAGACCTAGCTGAAGCTTTGATTTGACTTAAAGGGAAGCAGACTCTTCCAGGTCTTGACCTGGAGATGAGAGGCTGTCTGAGAATGGAGCAAACACAGTGAATGCAACACTGATTATGAAATGAGAGAAACCAGGTCTGGGTGCCATCATTTGAGTCCCTGGGCATGTCGTTCTGAAGCCAGCCTCACCTGCAATTTTCCATTGCTGTACCTCAACTGTGTTCGCTTGCTTGTGCACCACAAGCATGATCCATAATTCAACAACCTAATACACCTTCTTTGAAAACCTACTGCACAACCTCCATTGATAATAGCAACATTTACTGAATGCCAGACACATTGTTGAGTGCTTTATGTGAACAATCTCATTTAACCCTCTCAAACTCCTTATGAGGTAGGTGCTATCAATTATCCACATTTCTAAAGAAGAAACTGAAGCTTACAGGAGTTAATGCCAGGAAGAGGATGAAGGTGGTAAGTGGTGAATTCCTAATTACAACTTTAAACACCAAACCACAGTCATGTTGGCACTCAGAATTTGAATCCTTATCTACTGGGCTCCAGAATCTGTACTTTTTAATTTATTTACTTATTTCTGAGACAGGGTTTTGCTCCGTTGCTTAGACTAAAGTGCTGTGGTACAATCACGGCTTACTGCAGCCTTGACCTCCCGGGCTCAAGCGATCCTCTTGCCTCAGCCCCCTGAGTAGCTGGGACCACAGGTGTGTGCCACCATGCCCAACTAATTTTTGTATTTTTTGTACAGATGAGCTTTCGCCATGTTGGCTAGGCTGGTATTGAACTTCTAGACTCAAGTGATCCACCCACCTCAGCCTCCCAAAGTGCTAGGATTACAGGTGTGAGCCCAGAATCTGTACTTCTAACAACAAAAATAGTTTCTAATACATACAAAATACTTGATAGGCCTGATGGA
This sequence comes from Homo sapiens, assembly GCF_000001405.40. Taxonomy (NCBI): domain Eukaryota; kingdom Metazoa; phylum Chordata; class Mammalia; order Primates; family Hominidae; genus Homo; species Homo sapiens. The sequence continues at coordinate 68,949,033 of NC_000012.12, read as the reverse complement.
GGATAAAGGAATTAATAAAGTATATTTTGTGTCCTCCGGGAGCTTACCATTTAGTGGAGGAAATATGTATTCCCACAAATAACTGTGGGGCACCAAGTTATGAGTACTTTTACCTCCACTCCAATCTGCCACTGGCTACTGAGCAATGGTCCAAGGTTAGAGCATCATATTTAGCCATAGTATACATTGGCATGCTTACTGGGTTGTGTGGCAGCAATAAATGGCAACTGAACCAAAAGATGCAGGAGTCTAGCAAGACTTTTTACTTCTGGAGCAATTTCAGGCTTCCAAATCCTTACTGAATTACCCTTAATTGCAATTTCTCGTATTACTGAGATGATGAGAGTCTAATCATTGAGACTATTTCCTCCTAACTTTGTTGCTATATGCAGGCAACCAAGCTTCATTCTGACTGGGGGTTACGCTAACTTGGATTTTAAAACCCAATTCTGCAGTTCAAGAGAGATGATAAATGGAGTAGAGGGACCTCCTCCCTACCCTCCCCCCAAAACCCCCAAAGCCTTCCCAACTCCCTATATACTCTAAAAGACAGACACTAGAAACTAAACAACACATAATCTGATGGGCTGATCAATAATGCATTGGTTTTATTACCTGAATATTTTGGGGTTACTTTTTCATGTCAGTCTCTCATGTCAAAAATTCTCATTTCCCTAATGCCTACCCCCTCAGGCCCTCATCTCTCTTCCATCTTCCTCACGAATGATAATTTAAGGTCATAAAACAGATAGCTTCACACTTTCAATATAAACTCCAAAAAATAAATTGTTAGCGGTATTTATCTGACCCCTATATTCTAGCTATTATAGTCAGATAATAAAATCCAGGGTGCTCGAGGGAACAGATCAAGGGGACAGTTAGAAAACTTAAGCTTCAGTGTTTCTGTTGACTCTAGAAAGGCAAAACTAAAATAACTCATCTGTAGCCTGAATATCATTCCCAATAGGAGTTAGATAAAAGCCTATCTTGGCAAAGCTCAAAGTCCTTAAAGTTTGGGTCTTATTTGTTTGTTTGTTAGACTATTTTGGATCTTGAGAGTTTGCTTTGGGATGGGGAACAGCTATTAGAGCTGTTTGGCGAGTGGGTATGCTAGAAATGGGTTGAAATTATGACATTAGTATAAATTTTTATAAAAATCTAATTTCTAGACTGGGCAACATAGCAAGACCTTGTCTCTACTAAAATAAAAAAAAATTTTAAAAAAGCTGGCCATGGTGGCACACACCTGTAGTCCCAGCTACTTCGGGGGCTGAGGCAGTAGGAGCCCTTAAGCCTGGGAAGTCAAGGTTGCAGTCAGCCCTGATTGTGCAACTGCATTCCAGCCTGGGCAACAGAACAAGACCCTGTCTCAAAAAAAATAATAATAAATAAAATTAGTCATTATATAAAAATTCTTTCTTTTCTTTTTTTTTTTTTGAGACAGAGTCTTACTCTGTTGCCCAGGCTGGAGTGCAATGGCGCGATCTCAGCTCACTGCAAGCTCCGCCTCCCAGGTTCAAGTGATTCTTCTGCCTCAGCCTCCTGAGTAGCTGGGATTACAGGTGCATGCCACCATGCCTGGCTATTTTTCATATTTTTAGTAGAGATATGGTTTTGCCATGTTGGCCAGGCTGGTCTTGAACTCCTGATTTCAGGTGATCTATGTGTCTTGGCCTCCCAAAGTGCTGGGATTACAGGCATGAGCCATTGCACCCGGCCTCAAAATTATTTCTAATGTGTGCAAAGATATCTGATAAAAACTACATGACTATGTAAAATAAAACATACTATTTCCTCTGCCTGGACTTTCTATTTCTTCACCCTTCAAGTTACAGCTTAAACAGATCCATCTTCTGGAAGCTTTTTTGAACTCCACTTAACTCCATTTCAACTCAATGAGCACCTTCTGTGCTCTTGAATGCAGGTTTCTGATGACTTTGGAGGTTGTGCCACTGGAATAGAGGGAAAAAACTTCTAGGACTTTCATGGAGAGCTTATGTGTTCATGAATATTGAGCAGAACAGGAGTTATTTGCATGGACTGAGCAAACAGAAGACCAAAATAATCTTTTTATGATTTTTTGCTTAAAACGTTGCTTATTCTTTGTGTTTTTCAGAGTCAAGAAAACTTTTTTATTTGGAGCTATTTACAGCTTTTAACAACTGAGTAAAATACACTCCAGTGAGCAAATTTTGGAGCGCATTTCTTTCTCTCTACCTTATTTCTCTGTAATTTGGAAACTATGTCTACGTATACTTAATTTATGGTAGTATCGCTATTTGCATAAGTTCAGTAAGCATCTGTTTTCTTTTGTAACAGGACACTATTAGAGACACTAGTTATTTTACCAAGGCTTTGACTGGAATGACATGTTTTCAGACTTTTCAGACTGCTTTGAGGAATTGAGGTTGAGCTACAGAGCTGATAAAAATTCCTTGGAAAAACTGGCCACCTTGTTTTTACAAGGTTCCCAACCTGTGGTAAGTAAAAATGTCCCTTTCTGATAGGCCTAGGAATCCCAAGTTATTTTGGTACCTCTAGAAATGAGGAATTCATTCAATTCATACAGGTATCTGCAGGCACAAATAAATCTTTGGCTGGGCTCAAGATGCTTTTAAAAGGTCTAATCTGAGATTCCTTATTAAAAAAACATCCAGCAAAGCCAATTTTTTAAAAAGGCCTATATAGCAAATAATTATTCATGTTATGTTTCATGCAAACAATTAGGCCTAGTATAAATAAAACCAAAGCTTATTTTGCAAATAAATTGGTCCTGCTATGATTTGTCTTTGGTAAAAATGGGGGAAAACTGGAGAGGGAAAAATTATGTTTCAAAAAAAACCTATAGCATGCCTGTTATTAGATTCTAGCCTTGGCTGGGCACAGTGGCTCACACCTGTAATCCCAACATTTTGAGAGGCCGAGGCAGGAGGATGAATCACTTGAGCCCAGAAGTTCGAGACCAGCCTGGGCAACATAGGGAGACCCCATCTCTACAAAAAATTATTTAAAAATTAGCTGGGTGTGGTGGTGCACACCTGTAGTCCCAGCTACTTGGAAGGCTGAGATGGCAGGATCACTTTAGCCCTAGAGGTCGAGGCTTCAGTGAGCTCTGATCATGCCACTGCACTCCAGCCTGGGCAACAGAGTGAGACACTGTCTCAAAAAAAAAAAAAAAAAAAAAAAAGAAAGAAAGAAAAGAAAAGAAAAAAATTCTAGCCTTGTCCATTGTTTGTGAGCCTATACTAATGACTCACATCTGATTGGTTCTTGGGGATATTTACCTGAATCCCTCAAGGCTTCAGATCAGTTCTGCAAGGACTCCTGAAGCTAAGACTTTCACACCTTGCATTAGGTCTCTTGTAGTTTACTGTTCTCTTAAGTGCTATACTAACGATGTGGATAAGAATACTAACGTTTTTGTTATACCAACATTGGGGACCCAACAAGGCACCTGGGAATACATACAGACAACTGCAAAATGGTTTCACTCCTCTTACCTTGGGGGCAACCCTTGCCCCAACTATACCCCCTGTCAACAGGAAGAGCAGTTGTCAGCCTTTTCCCATCTCCCCAGCTCACACCTCAGGATTGAGGTGTGCTGAAGCACAAGGGAGGGAACTGAAACCACCTTTGCAAAGATTATGACAGCAAGAAAAGTCTAACTTGACTGACTCCATCTTGCTTCTAGTCTCACAGGCTGGCTGTCTTTGCTAATTCCTGGGGGCACAAAGAGCTAACCATGGGAGGGATTTAGTTTATAGTTTCACTTGGAAGCAAGGATGATAACAGTCCCTCCCTAAAACTAATCTCCTCCTTGCTTAGAGAGTGAAAACTAATGAAAGGCCACAAGATTAGGGTTATTGGAGGGACCTGAATTCTGCTAAAGTATAGGTATACTTTTATAATCCCTTACTGCTCAGGAGTCATGTGGCCAGAGGTCACAAGATTTGTGACTTCCCCAATTGCTCTTATAGATAACATCACTACTGTAGAACTTAAGATTGGTCTCTTGAGATGTTTTTCAGATTTTTGTATTCTGGCCATCAACTGATCCTACCTGGACTCATGACTCATGACTCAACTGGTCCTGTGGCCCCCACCCAGAGGCAGACTCAGCTCACTGGGACAGTTTTCCACACCCCTATGATTTTTTTCCCAACTAATCAGCAGTACCCATTACCTAGTCCCCGCCCACCAAACTATCTTTAAAAATCCTAACGTCTGAGTTCTCAGAAAGACTGATTTGAGTGGTAACTCCAGTCTTTCTGCTCTGCTGCCTTGTCACTTCTTTATTGTAATTTAAAAAAAAAAAACAAAAAACAAGGTGAAGGAGCCAGGCATGGTGTCTCATGCCTATCATTCCTGTATTTTGGGAGGCTGAGCTGGGCGGATGACTTGAAGCCAAGAGTTTGAGACCATCCTGTGCAACGAAGTGAGGCCCCATATCTACAAAAAATAAATTATCTGGGTGTTGTGGCATGTGTCTGTAGTCCCAACTGCTCAGAAGGCTGAGATGGGAGGATTGCTTAAGCCCAGAAGTTCAAGGCTTCAGTGAGCTATGATTATACCACTGCACTCCAGCCTGGGCAACAGAGCAAGAAACTGTCTAAAAAGAAAAAAAGTAAGTACGTTCTGATAGTATGTCTCATAATATCCTGTAATTTTCTTTCTGTAATAGGCATCAAAATGGCAACTGAGTGACTGCTTATCTCTGTATCATCTTTCCCAATACAATATGAACTCTATCAAAGTGAGGACTATGTTTCTCTTTTACACCATGGTATTCATAGTGCTTAGCATATTATTAGATGTTCATTAAATAATTATCAACAGAAGGAATGAATGAACCAATTAATCATGAGTCATGAGGAGACAAAAGAATTTGTTTGGCTATTGTCTGAGTATATTTATAATTTGACTTTCCAGAGGTCATTGTTGAATAGATATGATGTATGCTGTTTTCAAAAGGGTCATTGAAAAGTAAATGATTAGATGAACTTACAAATTATTAACTATCTTCAAACAGTCTCTTTGTCACTCTGCTATATATACATTTTTCCCTTCTTCCCACACTCCCCCTGCCTTTCTTTCTGCTACAGGTACAGGGTATTAACAAAGATGGCAGATTCTTTCTCAAATATACAGTTTTTAAAAAAAAAAAAATCCAGAAATGGTTTTCTCGACATTTGAAACAAAGCTAGAAAAGAAATAAATTTCAGTAAGTATATTGTTTCCTAAGAGACAAGAGTATGACTTTCATCTGCTGTTATGTCAGATTGTTTGATATCACACAATCCAGATTAAATGCAGCTAAATAGGACTGTCTTTGCTTTGGAAATCGGCCTTATTAGAGCCAAGAAGCTTTCTTGCAAATCTATAATATAAACAAAGTATAGTAGGAGAAGTAAGCATTATTTTGCACTCAAAGACCATGAGTTTAAGAGAAAAAGTCACTATTGTAACAATTGCTTTGTAATTGTAAATTATCACAAATTTATGGTTGATAAAGGTCTATTCCACTATTGCAAATATGTTGGAAGGAGCTGGGATGTGGAAATAAATAAGATAAATATAAACATATACTATCTGTTGTATCCCTTTCTGTCTTGTTCATCTTCACTAGATGGTAATAATAATAAAAATGAATTCAGCTTGGGACTTATAAAGCATTTATAACAGGCCAGACACTGTTTGTTCTAAACTCTTTGTATATGTTAACTCATTTAATATATGCAACCCTGTAAGGTCACTATAATCCTCTAAGATCAATACCATGAGTTAGCCCAGTTTACAGAAAAGGACATGAATGCACCAAGAGGTGCAGTGACTTGCTCAGGGCACACAGTAAGCGACAGAGCTGGGGTTTAAGCTAAGATGGTGTGGTTCCACAGACCTTACTTTTAATAATTTACTATTTTAGTTATTACATATAATCTCTTGATGCTATATTCTTCCTAGAATAACACTTATAAATCAGCAAGCATGCACTGAGCTCTGACCTAGATGCCATGGGGGAAACAAAAAATGACACCATTTGATGCTTCACTCACTCTATTTGGGGTGTCTTCCTGAACTGAAATTAATTTCAAACGTTTAGATTTTTCCTGACATTGTTTCTCAGCTGATGTGTTAGGGCATACTGGAGTGTCAAACTTTGATCTGATTACATTTTAATTTTGCTTCACCAACAGTAGATAGAATGTGAAGCTAAGAAGGTCATGCTGTGCAGTACAGAATGTGGTACAAACCACTAGGGGATAAGACACAAGAAGCAGAAAGTAATATTATGCCAGCTCCCCAAGAAAGATCACAGGTTTCTTTGAACATGTGAAATTCTTTAGTGGAGATTTTTGGCTCTTGTAGAATGTAAGCTACCTAAGGGCAGAGATTTGTTCTGTCTTGTTTACAGTCGTATTCCCTAGGAGCAAGTGCAGTGCCTGACACAGAGTAAACAATAAATAATTGATAAGGAAATGAATGAATAATTAAAAATCAGAGAGTGGGGCAAAGCAGAAATAGGTTTACTCTCACAGTGACATAGTGCCAACAAGGGACAATAGTGTGATAACGGTGCATGATTTTATAGTCATTGCTGTGTATTTTTATATTCTTCCTATGGTACGCTTTTTGATTATGTAGATAGCATTTTTTTAGTCCTTTTCTTTCTTTGTGCCATGAAAAATTCTAGGATTCAGAAATTTATCACGAACACAAATGTGTATACAAATCCTTTCTAAATCTCTCAAAGGAATACTAATGCATTTACAGTTGCACATCCAAAATAAAAGAACTACTCTGTTTGGTTTTTGATAGACAACTTGCATAACAAACAGAAAACACAGCCACAATTTCTAGAGAAATGCTTATTAAAAAGACATACAGTTCTAAAAAACAAAGTCTACTAATAAAAAAATAAAGGAACAATTTTTAAAAGATGCACAGCCAAGACTACAGAGTCCTTGTTTTAAACAGAGAATGCTTGAGTTGAGACATATTCTTTCAATCTCTGAGTCCCACTGTTTAGACATCACCCGTGGTAGTTTAGGGAAAGGATCATCTTGGACCTTAACAAAAACCATCCAGCTTTTCACTAACAATTTTCTTATCTCTAGCTATAAATAGCAATCTTTCCTTTCTGAAGAATTGCAAGGTCACTTTCCTTTTTTATCAAAAACAAACAAATCCGGTTTTGCTGGGGGTACTGATCTGAGTTGGGGGAGCTACTTTGAAGGAGGTAGGTTTAGTACTGGGGGAGGTACCAGGAGATCCCAGCTTAAGATAAATGCCCAAACTCCCTCAGATACATGAGAAGCAGCAGACAATAGAAAGAATCATTGAGCAGCATTAGTATAAGGCATTATATTCTACTTGTGAAATTTCAAGAAAATGTGTCTTTAAGGCCTAGGCAGGCAGATCACTTGAGGCCAGAAGTTCGAGACCAGCCTGGGCAACATGGTGAGACTCTGTATCTACAAAAAATACACAAAAAAATAGCCATGCGTGGTGGTACACACCTGTAGTCCCAGCTACCCGGGAGGCTCAGGTGGGAGGATTACTTAAGCCTGGGAGGTTAAGGCTACAGTGAGCTGTGATCACGTCACTGCACTCCAGCCTGGGCAACAGAGCCAGACCCTGTCTCAAAAACAAACAAACAAACAAAAAACAAAATAATGTAAAATAAGTTTTACCTTATTGGGCGAGTTATTTCTGAGCGACCATTTGATGCTTCACTCACACTATTTGGGGTGACTTCCTGAACTGAAATTAATTTCAAATGTTTAGATTTTTCCTGACATTGTTTCTCAGCTGATGTGTTAGCTTTATATACACACACACACACACACACACACACACACACACGTACTCAGCACATCTTCAAATTACTTCTGTAGCACAAAAACACACAAATTGACCAATGGAACAGAAATAAGCCAGTCACAAAAAGACAAATATTGCATGATTCCACTTATATTAGGAATCTAAACTAGTCAGACTTTTAGAAAGAATGTTGGTAGCCAGGAGCAGGAGAGAGAGAGAAAAGGTGGGTTGTTGTTCAGTGGGTATAGAGTTTCAGTTTTGCAAGGTTTGAAAAAGTTCTAGAGCTCTATTGCACAACAGTGTGCATAGAGTTAACACAACTGCACTGTACACTTAGAAACAGTTAAGATGGTAATTTTATATGTTTTATAGCACAATAATTTAAAAAATATAGGAAGGACATGGTCTCAGAATAAAGGGCCATCTTTTATCATAAAGAAAAATTTGCAACCCAATTCCAACATGTTAAGGTGTTCTCTTCTTGTTGTTTCATTGAGAACTGCTAAAAGTCTCAGTGCCCTTCTCATTTGGATGGTGGTCCTACTCAAACGTTTGGAGACCAAAGCCCCATTTGGTAATAAGAAGGATGTGTTGCCTGGCCTGGTGCTCTGGGCATATACACTTCAGGAGAACCTTTCGTAGGTAGGGGTTAAGGATTGGAATCTGTCCTGACAGAACAATGTCTTCACACAATTAACACATAGTTCACATACTAGATGAAAACAAATTCCAAGTGGACTACAAATATAAATCTGGGGGAGGGAGAGAGGGATGAATAGGTGGAGCACAGGGGATCACTAGGGCCATGAAATTATTCTGTATGATACTGTAATGTTGGATACATGCCATTATACATTTGTAAAAACTCATAGCATATGCAATATAAACTATAGATTTAGTTAATAATAATGTGTCAATATTGGCTCATCAATTTTAACAGATGTGACACGCTAACGCCAAGATGTTAATAATAAGGGAAACTGTGTATGTGGGTAGGGCAGGAAAAGGGTATATGGGAACCCTATACTTTCTGTTCAATTTTTCTGCAAATCTCAAACTGCTCTAAAAAAATTAATTTTAAAAAATGAGATGAAAGAAGAAAAATGAAAAAATAAAAATACCAAAGAAATAAAAATAGAAGAAAATATAAATTAATTTATAATTTAAGAATAAACTTTCTAAGAATATATCAAAAAACTATGAATCCAGAAGGAAAAGACTAATACACAACCAGAAAAATGAGCAAAAGCTATTAATAGACTATTTTTTAAAAGAAGAACAATAAATGTTCAATAAGACTATGAGAGAAATGTTCAGTCACATTAATACTAAAACTTAAAATTATGAGATTTCATTTTTATCTATGAAATTGGCAAACATTTTTAAAAGAGATAATAGTAATCATGAGGAGCCAAACAGGCATTTTCACATATCACCAGTGAGGACTGTAAATTGGAATGACCTTTGGTCAGAAAAAATTTTTCAAAACTTGGAAAGCAAAATATGATTGCATAATTTGTTTTCATGTTAGGCATTGCCTAACCAGTCCATCTAAGGTGAATTGAATCCTGACTCGTTATTACAGATTTGCACATTTTACAACTGTAAATTCAAATGTTAGTTTGTAGAAAATTGGTGAGATGCTATATTTTTGTCCAATGGAGATATAATTTCTGTCCTGCACAGATGAAAATAATTTTGCTCTGTAAAGATAGCACCAAACATTATGGTTTATCACCCTGTAAGACATTAATCAGATTTATATCTAATTTAGCAATAATGTAGAATGATTTTAGTATTCTTTTTTATATATTTATGTATATATATAGGATGTATATTTACATATGTATATTATATATAGTATGTATATACATAATATAAATACAATATGTATATAGGTATGTGTACACATAATACATATACTATATGTATATATGTACATAATATACATAAGTATATACATCATATACATATATGATGTCTATATGTATAGACATCATATACATTATGGGATGTACATACATATATACATAACATATACATATATTATGTATATATTATTATAGATATATGTACATATATACATACATATATGTATGTAGTAAATGTATATATAGATACATATGTGTATACATATATAGATGTATGTACATATATCTATGTATATACTTATAGATGTATGTACATAATATCTATATATATACTTACAGATATATTTATATAATATCTATATACTTACATATATGTACTATGTATATTTAGATATATACACATATTTATACATATATGCATATACACATATACATATATATGTATGTACATATATAAATAGATATACATAATATATGTATATACACATATAGATATATATGTACACATATAGATATACGTGTGTGTGTGTGTGTATACACACATATTTTCTCATGTCTTTCTTTGAACTGGCTTTGTTATCCTGCTGGTTTCCTCATTAATAAGTTAAAATTAAAACTTGAACTGTGCTTACTCTATATTTGTATGAGAATACTTTTTAACATTTTTTAAATTATACATTTGACATTTTATAGGAGTATAACTTGGCCAAATATTTTAAGTCTTAAAAGTGTACATGCTTTTTAACCTAGCAATTACATGTCTAAGAAATGATCCTAAGGAGGTAAGGACATGCTCAAAGGTTTAGCTCTGAGAATGTTTCTAGATGTGCTGTGTATAATAAAGAAATACCAGAAACAAATGTGCCACATTAGGGCGCTGGTTAATACCTAAATGTGTGTGTGTTTGTTTGATTGTTTTGGGGTTTGGGGATTTTTTTTTTTTAAGACAGAGTCTCATTCTGTCACCCAGAATGGAGTGCCATGCGATCATGGCTCACTGCAACCTCAAACCCCTGGGGTCAAGCAATCCTCCTGCCCCAGCCTCCTCAGTAGCTGGGACTACCTTGCCCCATCCCTAAATGTGTTTTAAGAATGGTTGTTTCCAGGTAAGTAAAATTTGTAAGTTTAAAATTTTTCTTTTATCTTGTTCAGATTTTCTTGTGACACTTTCAAAGAAAAAAGTTTGAAAGTCACAAAGTCTAGTTATACTGTTCTCATTCTTGTTGACATCTATTGAGGTACTTAGCCCCGACTATAGTTATTCCCTCTGTCCCAATTCCTGCTACTATCTTAGGGAAATTCAGAGTCCTTAAACAGAACCAATCCAACACTCTGGCTTTTTCATTCCTTAATTTCCCATTTCCAGTGATCTTTACCTCCTCTTCACTTTTGTAATTCACTCTAAGATATTTTGATCCTGTTTTCATTCAGAATTAGTCATTGGTCCTCTCTAACACTTTTGTGCTTTTTCCTCTGCTTTGCTTTTAAATTAAAATGCCTTCATTGTTTTTCCAATTTAAAAAAGCAATGCATGTTTGGTGGAAAAACTTTTCAGAAAATACAGAAAGATGTAAAAAAGAAAATTAAAACATTGCAACTCGTGGATTTGCACTCAGCATGTTGGTAACCTTAGAAACACATTGCTGGGAATAGTTTTTTTTTGTTTGCTTTATCTAAATGAGATCTTACTATTTATTTTACTTTTATTATCTGCTTCTTGCCTGAACAATTTGTCTTTCCAAGTGAATAAATGCAGATCTACATTGACATTATTATGGCTGAAAAACAATTAATTGTACAGCTATAATATTCTTTAACCCAGGGTGTCTTAACTTCAGCACTATTGACATTTTGGGCTGAATAATTCTTTGTTGTGGGAGGCTGTGTTGTGCACTGAAGGATATTTAATGCCTCCCTGCCCTCTGTATCAGCACTAGATGCCAGTAGCTCCCATCCCTAGTTATGACAATCAAAAATGTCTCAAGATATTGCCAAATGTCTGCTGTGGGCACTACTGCCTCAAGTTGAGAACCACTGATCTAACCAATCTGCTGTTGTTTGACATTTAGGTTTTATCTACTTTGTCACAATTTAAAGCAGCAGCACTTATGAAGCTCCTAACATATACAAACTCAACACATCTTCAAATTACTTCTATAGCATAAATTTCTAGCAAGGAATGGCACATACAAAATTTTGATGTCTATTCCCAGATTTCCCTCCAGAAAGATTGTATTAATTTAGAACACCATTGAAACAGCATAAATGTCATTTCCTGAGATCCTGTCTACTTCCAGGTATTGTCAATCTTTTTAATCTTGCTTTGTGATAAGCAAAACAAAGTATTACTTTACCCTTTTAACTTGTAATTCTTTGATTGCTTACCAGGTTGGTAACCTTTACTATATTTATTAGCTATTTGTGTTACTGCTTTTATGAACTGCTTATTCATCTCCTTTGCTCATTCTTTATTTTGTAAGAGCATTAATTCCTTCTTCCAGCTTGTAATTTTTCTCATAACCTGATTTAAACCTTTCTTCTTATAACCTTTATAAGGTTTTCTGTACAGAAGTCATACATTTGTATGTTTTCAAATTATTAGCCTTTTTATTATGGTTTTACCTTTAATGGTGCCATACTTAGAAAGATCACCTCTAGGTCCAGGCCTGGTGGCTCACACCTGTAATCCCAGCACTCTGGGAGGCTGAGGCAGGCAGATAATTTGAGGCCAGGAGTTCGAGACCATCCTGGCCAACGTGGTGAAACCCCGTCTCTACTAAAAATACAAAAATTAGCCAGGCGTGGTGGTGGGCACCTGTAATCCCAGCTACTCAGGAGGCTGAGGAAGGAGAATTGCTTGAACCCGGGAGGTGGAGGTTGCAGTGAGCTAAAATTGTGCCACTGCACTCCAGCCTGGGCAACAGAGCAAGACTCTATCTCAAAAAAAAAGAAGAAAGAAAGAAGATCACCTCTAAAATCTCTAAACTTCAGTATTTTACTCTATTAGGCTAACCTTTTATTTTGCTGTTATCTTTCATACTCTTAACACTAAATTTTTTTTTCTCTCTTGACCAGTGCACCTTAAACTTGAATGTACATATACATCATCTGGAAATCTTATTAAAATGTGTGTTCTGATTCAGTAGGTTTGGAGTGGAGTGACAGATTCTACATTTCCAACAAGCTCCCAGGTGATGCCAGTGCTGTCCCTGGCCTGCACTCTGAGTTACTAGCTCCTAAACCTTCAGCACTCAGTCCTCTGTACCCCCTACCTCCATTCTCTGACTCCTTCCTGAAGTTGCCTCCCTTCCTACCTAGTGTGAACCCCAATGGCAGCAATTTCAACTATAGCTCATCTCTGTTTTTCCAGAACAACAATCCTGGCAATCTCCATTCCAGTATTGATGAAGCCACCATTTCTTCCAGTCTCCAGCCACAGCACCCTGCAGGAAATCAGATAGTGTCCACGTACTTCTCTTAAAAAGATAGGATTTCTAAGGTACATCAGCAAGCCTTCACTTTGTTCCCACCCAGTTCCCTTTCCCATTCCTAGAGTAACTTTGCCTAAATTTAATCTTCTCAAGCTCCAGTCCCCCTCCTCAGACCTCTTAGTCAATGAACAACAATGAAAGGGAAACGTCTTCAACCCTTCCAGTGGAAATAACATTTAGCATAGTGACTACTGCACAATTAAAAAAAAAAAAACCTACTCAAAGACTCTACAATGTCATACTAAGACTTCCAACTCTTAGGCCAGGCAAGGTGGCTCACTCATGTAATCCCAGCACTTTGGGAGGCTGAGGCAGAAGGATCACTTGAGGCCAGGAGTTCAAGACTAGCCTGGCCAACATGGTGAAACCTGGTCTCTATTAAAAATGCAGAAGTTAGGCATGTGTGGTGTAAAAATACAAAAGTTACGTAGGTGTGGCGATGCGTGCCTGTAATCCCAGGTACGTTAGAGGCTGAAACACAAGAATCGCTTGAACCTGGAAGGCAGAGGCTGCAGTGAGCTGAGATTGCACCACTGCACTCAAGCCTGGGCAACAGAGTGAGACTGTATCTCAAAACAAACAAACAAACAAACAAACAAACAAACAATAAAACAACTTCTCTTTAAGAAAAAAAAAAAGATGGCCAGGCACGGTGGCTCACGCCTGTAATCCCAGCGATCTGGGAGGCCGAGGCAGGCAGATCGCCCGAGGTCGGGAGTTCCAGACCAGCCTGGCCAACATGGTGAAACCCCGTCTCTACTAAAAATACAAAAATTAGCCGGGCCTGGTGGCAGGTGCCTGTAATCCGAGCTACTCGGTAGGCTGAGGCAGGAGAATTGCTTGAACCTGAGAGGAGGTTGCAGTGAGCCGAGATCATGCCATTGCACTCCAGACTGGGCAACAGAATTGAGACTCCATCTCAAAAAATAAAGAAAGAAATAAAAAATTAAAAAAAAAATTCCAACTCTTGGAAAATTCCCTTTAAAGAGTTACGAATTAAGCTGGTTTATTTATGTAATAAACGCTTCGCACAGTTCTTACAATGTGCCTGCCAACCTTATTTAGGTAGGTACAATTAAGACTTCCACTTTACACACCAGAAAATAAGGCACAGAGTCGACACAGCCACTGAGTGTCAGAGCAAGAATTGGCACTCATCCCGTGAGCGCCTCAGTTCTTTTTTTTTCTTTATATATACTTTAAGTTCTAGGGCACATGTGCACAACTGTGGCACATATACACCACGGAATACTATGCAGCCATAAAAAAGGATGAGTTCATGTCCTTTGTACGGACATGGATGAAGCTGGAAACCATCATTCTCAGCAAACTATCGCAAGGGCAGAGCGCCTCAGTTCTTAAACCACTCTTCTATGCTGCGGCAGAATCACTGGAAGTCTCAGGGAGTCCTGAGTGCGCAATTCTAGGAAAAGTATCTATATCTGTAAGAAAGAAGGGGCAGGGAATCTAACGGTTCTCAGCTCTTGAAGGCACATTAGATTCATTCAAGGTCCTCTCTAAAAATACACTTTCTTGGGCCTCCACGAGAAAAATTCTATTCAATTAGTCGTGGGCTTGCATCCGTATTTTTAGTCTGTAAAAGTGGAATGTTATCTCAAATCAGTGGTTTTCAAACTTTTTATATTCTGCGGACCTTGACACGGGCCCCCAATACCCTGACACGGTTACTTACAATCCGGGAGAGAGTGGGAGAAAGGGGGAGAGAGGGAAGGGGAGAGGGGGAGGGGAGAGAGAGAGAATGAATGAGAATGAATCTTTTAGAGAGGTAGAGGGGGTTGGCCCGTGCCACAAACCACCTCTCAGGTTTGAGTGAAGCCTTCGTTCTCTCTCGTGCAGAGACCATGCCATCCTTCCAGAAAGGAGCATTTTAGGACGTTTTAGGACGAGAGACCTGTAATTGGCCTAAGACTCAGGTGCAGGTGGAGGAAGCATCGGATTTACAACAGTGGTCCTGCCTTCTTCGATGTGACTTCCAGTTTTAAATTCAATTCTAATTTACACAAATCCCACCCACTATGTAAACTTGTTGGAAAATGTCCTGCACTCTGCACTTCGTGGCATTTAAAACTTCCACACACGCGCGCGTTCTTTCTCGAAGCCCCGTGATTGCTTAGCCTCGCTGGGCAGCTTGGCACTGCTGGGAGCTTGGCTCGCCCTGCCGGGGCCGACGCCGCCCGTCCCGCAGGAGCCCGCGCGGGGCTCAGGGCACTCAGGACTCCGCATGCGTCCCGGCTCCAGGTGGGCCCCGGCACCGCCAACCGCAGGAAACCCGCCGAGCCCTAAACGTCTCCCAAGCGGCTGCAGTCTGCGACAGAGAGTGTCCCTCGGTGGAGCGCCCTGTGGCTGCCCAGGCTACAGCCGTGGCCGAGGCGAGGACACACTTCTGACCTGGGGCTCCAGCAAAGACTGTCCGCGAGCGGCGACTCCATGCCCGCAGCCCTCCGCCCAGCTCAGCCGCCCGGCCGCGGGCACCAGCAGCCGCGCCACGAAAGGGCGCACCGCGCGGGCGCCGTCTCTCCTAGGTGCGAAGGCGGCTGAGGCCCCGCCCGGGAGGCACCCGCGCGGCTCCGGAGTGGGCCGGAGGGACGTCCGGGGGCGGGGCCCGGGCGCGCCCGCCCTCTGACCGGGCTATAACACCCGGCCCCGCCGGGCGGCCGCGGGTGGGTAGAGGTGCGCGCCTGGGACCTGGTGAGGCTGGGGGTGCGCGGGGCCGGGCGCAGCTGTGGCAGCTGCCGGACGGCGGAGGCGCCAGGAGGAGGAGGAGAGGGAGGCGCGGGCGGCTGGGTCGAGGGCACCGAGGCTGCCCGTGCTCCCGGTCTCTGGTTGCACGGCTCACTCCCGAAGGTGTTGCTTCCAGCTTTTGCCTCCTTAGGAGGCAGGGAGCGTCAGTGTCGGGAGACCCTGAGACCGGAGTACCGAGACGTAGCTGGTGATGCCCCCGCCTGCCCTCATGTGTTCTCAGGTTCTTCTTATTTTTATTCATCTCTAGAACATGGACTTCCCGTGCCTCTGGCTAGGGCTGTTGCTGCCTTTGGTAGCTGCGCTGGATTTCAACTACCACCGCCAGGAAGGGATGGAAGCGTTTTTGAAGACTGTTGCCCAAAACTACAGTTCTGTCACTCACTTACACAGTATTGGGAAATCTGTGAAAGGTAGGGTCCGTCTCGTGAACACTTTGCCAAACCCTCAGTCCTCCCTTTCAGTATTCATTAAATATGCCCCAGCTTCCTGTCTGCTCTTCCACGCACCTACTCTGAGTGGCACAGAACAAGTCAACCGGTACCGTGCGTGTTGGTTGTTTTCTGCTTTTGTTGGGAGGAATAGTAGGAAGAACTGAATTTTACTGGACTTGTCCATTGTAATTCAGTGTCACTGAGTCCTTTCCATTATTGGAGTTCTTCTGTCTTTTTGGATCTTGCAGACATTGGTTATTTGGGATGTATGTTTTAGTTCCTTTTCAAGATAAACTCCCAAGTAAGTCCGTTTATCCGTTTCAGTTCCCCTTTGTGTGGGCTTCTTTATATATGACTTGGACTGTTAATGTCATTTCTTCATGTCTCTTTTAAACTGAAATAATGCAGTTTTGTTGGTAAGATTTCTGTGTCATCTGTAGTTAGCCTTTTATTTAAAGTTATGCAAAACTATCATTTCTGCAAGTTTCTTTTAATCTAAGTAGTACAGTTCTGTTGGTTAGATTTGTGTCGTGTATAATTAGCCCTATGGCTTAAAGTTATGCAAAAAAGTGGTTCTATGATTAAAGGCTGTTTTTAAAATGTATCCATTTGAAGAAGACAATGCTAGATAATGAATATATATTAGTAGTGATTGAAACTCTTCCCAGCATTTTCATATTTATCATTAATAATTTATTGTTCTAAGTTAGAAACTACATAAAGTTATTTTCATTTTTATAGACAGCAAGTTTGAATCAGATAAATTAAATAATTTGTTCAAGGTCTCCCAGATGGTGAATTTTATAGCCAGGACTGGCACCCATCCGGCCAAGGCAAATAATTTGATCAGATATCGTTATTTCATCTTTCTTTCTTTCTTTCTTTCTTTCTTTTTTTTTTTTTTTTTTTTTTGGTCAGAGTCTCGCTCTGTTGCCCAGGCTGGAGTGCAGTGGCGTGATCTCGGCTCACTGCAACCTCCGGCTTCCTGAGTTCAAGCAATTCTCCTGCCTCAGTCTCCCGAGTAGCTGGGATTACAGGAATGCGCCACCACAGCTGGCTAATTTTTTTGTATTTTTAGTAGAGATGGGGTTTCACCATATTGGCCAGGCTGGTCTCAAACTCCTGACCTTGTGATCCTCCTGCTTCGGCCTCCCAAAGTGCTAGGATTACAGGTATGAGCCACCGTGCCCGGCCGAGATACCATTATTACTTAATCATCTTTTATTATCCTGATGTTCCCAAAGAGGTTACCAGAAAACTTAGTCCTTAAATCAAAAGTTTCATAAATTTTATGCAATTTGGATCTCAACTTTTTGTAAGGTGTGTTCAAACTCTACCTTGATTTTAGCTCTGAACTTTTGAGTCAATTGAGAGTCTCATAATTACCATATTCTTCATCATTTTTCAAAAAAATCAAGGCTATGGCTTCTATATTAAAGAAAAAGTATTATATAAATGTATTTATGTGCAATGCGAAGTCAATATCCTGGGCTGTGTGTAATAGTAACTTTGTTTTTAAACAGCATTGCCAAAGAGATGGTGCCAGAATTACTCTATATTGCTCTATAATCCAAAATTATAGAGGTTGGGTGTGTGAGAAATCATATCTTGAATCAGCATACGTATTCAGCCTTCTGAAATCATTTTTCCCTAGGGCTAGAGTAGAGCAATTTAAAAAGATCTAGGAATACTAATTATATTAATTAAAAATATATAGAACACAACTAGCTTGAGTTATTGTTCAGTCATCATTTCAACCACAAGATGATGAGGATGTTGTTAATTTTAAGTACTAAGTGATTTGGTAAGGTTTTGTATTTTCAAACACAATGTGCTTGTGACAGTTGGGGGCTCTCTTTCCTAATATGAATCAGCAGTTGTGATCTATCCTGCATGATATCAAACCACAATCACAGTGAAAGTCAGCAGGCTTAATTTTGTTTTTAATTTTACCTTGTATGCACTCTTGCGGTTAAAGGCTTGAGGAGTTATCATGTAAAAATAAAATCTGACACTAGTGGTTAAATATTTGTGTTGAATATGTTGTTCTGAATAATAACTCGGATTAAGAAAAATCCCAAATCTGCCATTTGGCTCCAACTGGTAGATGAAACTGTATGCCAGTAACTGGGAGTCAGTTGCCAAAGTGTCACTGCACATTAGTGTGACAATTGAGAGATGGTGCTCCTTTGTTGGTGGTCTTTTTCACTAGATATTTTCCCTAACCATTCTGCCCTCTGATGTAAGATAAGTTTGCTTAGAAAACAGAATTTATGACCAGGCCCAGTGACTCATGCCTGTAATCCCAGCACCTTGGGAGGCCGAGGCGGGAGGATCACCTGAGGTCAGGAATTTGAGACCAGCCTGGCCAACATGGTGAAACGTTGTCTCTACTAAAAATACAAAAAATTAACCAGACATGGTGGTGTGCACCTGTGGTTCCCGCTACTAGAGAGGCTGAGACCGGAGAATAGCGTGAACCCAGGAGGCAGAGGTTGCAGTGGGCCAAGATCATGCCACTGCACTCCAGCCTGGGTGACAAGAGTGAAACTCTATCTCAAAATAAAAGAAAATAAACAGAATTTATTATACACGTGTTATTTATTTATTTATTTATATTACATGTATTAACGTGGGCAGTCTTACCCAGAAGGGAAAGTAATATTCCTAAGTAACTAAATACATGTTTAGTTTTTGTAAAAACTTAAATATATGTGCTATGCCTATGTAAATATATGCATATCACATATTTTCTTTGTTGTAATTGTGGATTATATTCTGCTTGTTTTTTCATTTCATGTTATTTCCTTAGATATTTCCATGAATTGACAAAGTCGGTAGATGTGAATTCGTTGCTGTTTAGTATTCTATCCTCTTGATTATGTGAATTTTCTTAGTCATTCACCTCTTTGAGCATCTGTATAGTTTTTGGTTAACTCTGTTATAAACAGGGATACTATAAAACCATTGATACATGTCATGATAATTACCTTCTATTATTATTGGTGATTTTTAAAAACGTTTTTATTTTGAAACTTTTAAAATCCACACAAAAGTTAAACACATCTATACCCAGCTTCAGCCATAGTAGACCATATTTCAGTTGAGCCTTTTGAAGGAAATCCCACTGCCTAGTGACATAGTAAAGAAAATCTTAGGTGAAACAAGAGAAGCAAAAAAGTACTGATGACTTAGTTCAGAAAAATCAGAAAAGGTACAGTGTTCATCAGTTCGTTCGTTCAATCCTCCGTTCAATTAAGGAAGCACCTCCCATTTTTTGCCCCAACCCCTTTGTCTAGAAGGATGCCTGGCACATAATCAATAATCTATATCTATTTATTTAATGGATCAAATATTTGCTGAGCAAAAGGCATGGGAAGCAAACAAACGTGTGTGTCATTCATTCCCTGCCATTAGGTAGCTCATTTTCAAATACAAATGTATTTACTGTGAATTTCTCAGGGTAGTCTCTCCACACACACCCCAAAATTAGTTTAGGAACATTTTATTATTTTTTTAAAAAATGAACCCTTGTGTTGAGGGTTGACTATCAATAGATAGCAATGAAAGAACTGCTCTGCTACATACAAAACCCCAAAGGGCCATTTTAAATGAGATTTCCTACCATCTATTTTAAGAATCTTGCATTGACTGGGTGTGGTGGCTCACGTCTATAATCCCAGCACTTCAGGAGACCAGCCTAGGCAACATGGGAGACTCCATTTCTTAAAAAAAAAAAAAAAAATTTAATTAACCAGGCATAATGGTGCATGCCTGTGGTCCCAGCTACTTGGGAAACTGAGGCAGGAGAATCACTTGAGCCTGGGAGTTCAAGGCTGCAGTGGGCCATGATCGTGCCACCGTACTCCAGCCTGGCCTACAGAGCAAGACCCTGTCTCAAAAAAAAAAAAAAAGTATCTTGTCTTGCCTCCTGCTAAGTCTGATCATCATTGTATCTGAATACAGTAGGCGGGATAATAACACCTTCCTTACTAGTGATAATACTATTAGAGATTTTTTAAAGCCAGCCAAATTTAGTAGTCTCTGTTATCAAGTACTTTCCATGTAGTAAATAGTTTAAGACATTATTTCGATCTCAGCAACTCAAAGTAGGCCTTATCCTCATTTACAAAACAGGTAAAATGAGGCACAGAGAGGTTAATTAACTTGCTGAAGATAACATAGCTAAGTATTAGAAGATTCAAACTCAGATCTGCCTATTTCCCAAGCACCTCTCTATTCTCTTTTAAAAAGCAGCTTGACATTTAAGTCTTTAATCCATCTTGAATTAATTTTTGTATAAGGTGTAAGGAAGGGATCCAGTTTCAGCTTTCTACATATGGCTAGCCAGTTTTCCCAGCACCATTTATTGAATAGGGAATCCTTTCCCCATTGCTTGTTTTTCTCAGGTTTGTCAAAGATCAGATAGTTGTAGATATGCGGCGTTATTTCTGAGGTCTCTGTTCTGTTCCATTGATTTATATCTCTGCTTTGGTACCAGTACCATGCTGTTTTGGTTACTGTAGCCTCGTAGTATAGTTTGAAGTCAGGTAGCATGATGCCTCCAGCTTTGCTCTTTTGGCTTAGGACTGACTTGGCAATGCGGGCTCTTTTTTGGTTCCATATGAACTTTAAAGTAGTTTTTTCCAATTCTGTGAAGAAAGTCATTGGTGGCTTGATGGGGATGGCATTGAATCTATAAATTACCTTGGGCAGTATGGCCATTTTCACGATATTGATTCTTCCTACCCATGAGCATGGAATTGTTCTTCCATTTGTTTGTATCCTCTTTTATTTCATTGAGCAGTGGTTTGTAGTTCTCCTTGAAGAGGCCCTTCATGTCCCTTGTAAGTTGGATTCCTAGGTATTTTATTCTCTTTGAAGCAATTGTGAATGGGAGTTCACTCATGATTTGGCTCTCTGTTTGTCTGTTACTGGTGTAAGACTTAAACGTTAGACCTAAAACCATAAAAACCCTAGAAGAAAACCTAGGCATTACCATTCAGGACATAGGCACGGGCAAGGACTTCATGTCTAAAACACCAAAAGCAATGGCAACAAAAGCCAAAATTGACAAATGGGATCTAATTAAACTAAAGAGCTTCTGCACAGCAAAAGAAACTACCATCAGAGTGAACAGGCAACCTCCAAAATGGGAGAAAATTTTCGCAACCTACTCATCTGACAAAGGGCTAATATCCAGAATCTACAATGAACTCAAACAAATTTACAAGAAAAAAACAGACAACCCCATCGAGAAGTGGGTGAAGGACATGAACAGACACTTCTCAAAAGAAGACATTTATGCAGCCAAAAAACACATGAAAAAATGCTCACCATCACTGGCCATCAGAGAAATGCAAATCAAAACCACAATGAGATACCATCTCACACCAGTTAGAATGGCGATCATTAAAAAGTCAGGAAACAACAGGTGCTGGAGAGGATGTGGAGAAATAGGAACACTTTTACACTGTTGGTGGGACTGTAAACTAGTTCAACCATTGTGGAAGTCAGTGTGGCGATTCCTCAGGGATCTAGAACTAGAAATACCATTTGACCCAGCCATCCCATTACTGGGTATATACCCAAAGGACTATAAATCATGCTGGTATAAAGACACATGCACATGTATGTTTATTGCGGCACTATTCACAATAGCAAATACTTGGAACCAACCCAAATGTCCAACAACGATAGACTGGATTAAGAAAATGTGGCACATATACACCATAGAATACTATGCAGCCACAAAGAATGATGAGTTCATGTCCTTTGTAGGGACATGGATGAAATTGGAAATCATCATTCTCAGTAAACTATCGCAAGAACAAAAAACCAAACACCACATATTCTCACTCATAGGTGGGAATTGAACAATGAGAACACATTGGACACAGGAAGGGGAACATCACACTCTGGGGACTGTTGTGGGGTTGGGGGAGCGGGGAGGGATAGCATTAGGAGATATACCTAATGCTAAATGACGAGTTAATGGGTGCAGCACACCAGCATGGCACATGTATACATATGTAACTAACCTGCACATTGTGCACATGTACCCTAAAACTTAAAGTATAATAATAATAAAATAAAATAAATAAATAAAAATAAAAAGCAGCTTGACACAGATGGGGATGATTCCATGGAAGTTGAGGTCATTAGTAGAGGGTTTTAGGACCATGGTTTGGGCACATTTGACCTGAAGGTATAGCTCTACCAAGGATCTAGAGCTGTTCAATTCAGTAGCCATTAGCCACTAAGCAATTGAGGAGTTGAAATATGACTAGACCAAACTGAGGTGTGCTAGAAAGTGACTTTGAAGACTTAATACAAAAAAGGAAAATATTTCACTAATAATGTTTTATATTGATTACATGTTGAAATGATAATATTTTAGATATGTTAAATAAGAAATATTTTTTTAAATTAATTTCAAGGCCAAAAGCAGTGGCTCACACCTGTAATCCCAGCACTTTGGGAGGCTGAGGCAGGTGGATCGCCCGAGCTCAGGAGTTTGAGACCCGCTGGGGCAACATGGCAAAACCCCATCTCTACCAAAAATACAAAAAATTAGCTGCGCATGGTGGCATATGCCTGTCATCCCAGCTACTTGGGAGGCTGAGGTGGGAGGATTGCTTGAGCTTGGGAGGTGGAGGTTGCAGTGAACCAAGATTGTAATTGTGCCACTGCACTCTAACCTGGGTGATAGGGTGAGACCCCCATCTCAAAAATAAATAAATATATAAATAAAAATTAATTTCACCTGTTTCTTTTTACATTATTGTAACTAGCAGAAGATTAAAATTATATATATGACTTGCATTATATTTTGATCGGACTGTGCTGCTATAGAGTGCAATTTGTTATTATTAATTTTTTCCTGCGTACAAAAGGAATTCTAGTTCATTTAGAAAATTTGGATCATACAACAAAGCACCAAAAAGAAAATTAAAATCTCACCATCCAAAGGAAACATTTAGTAGACTGCAATCATACTACACAGTTTTGAGCCTTTTTACCCCCCTGAGTCAAATATCTTATTTTGTTTGTCCATGCAAACATGTTATCTCTAAAACTTGATTTTTAATTTCTGTTTTGTGTCCTGTCAATAGATATTTTATTGTTTAACTTATGCCCCACTGGTGAATATTTAGTTTGTTTCTAAACTTTCGCTGTTATGATCAATGCTGTAGTGAACATCCTTGTAGCTAAGACAGCAAAAATCTGAGCACAGGCTTTGGAATCACCTGCCCAAGTTCAAATTCCGGATTCTCAGTTTTGTAGCTACGTGACCATGGGTCTTTAGAATAATTCCTGGCACATAGTAAGTGCTATGTAAAAGCTGCTATTATTATTATTATTAATACATACCCAAAAAGGAAATTACTAAGTCTAAAGCTGTTTTAAGTATTTGATATATATACCAAATTGCCTTCCAAAAAGATTGTGTTGATTTATAATTTCTTGGGAAATGCATATTAAGAAAAATAAAACAACTCTTCTAAAACTTACACTAGTCATAAATCAATACTGTCATTAGTGCTTTGAAAGATGATTGTAGTATGTATTTCTCATTGTTATGTTGTAAGTATGAGGGAGAATTTATTTCTCTTGCCCCTTTCCCTAAGAACTCTCACCTTCCCATCATTAACAGACATTCACTGAATTCCTCTACTAGGAGTCCTATACCATTTCAGATGTTCAGAAATCTCCCTAACATTGGTTAAGATTCTTGCTCCTAAGAGGAAAGTACTATGTTCACATACACAGATCTCTCATGATCACTTGCCCTCAACTGGATAGATTTTAGCCGGTGATTTACCCTCAGAAAACAGCATTGTATATAAAATTTTGGCACAACACTTGGTCATCCGTCACACTCTGCTCATTTCCCAAATATGCTCGTAAAACCAGTTTGCTTGAGATCCTGTATAAAATGCCTATTGTGATGCAAATACTGACATATTGAGGATGAATATGAAGAAAACCACTAAAATCTAGGAAATTCAGCTATAATATACATGTTTGTGATTTAAAGTTATATGGGTTTAGTAAGCCTTTCCCCTTTAACATAATACGCAGAGTACCTTTCTGAGACATTTATCAGCTATCAGCCTTATTCTTATTCTTGAAACATTCAGGGTTTCTTAAAGACATTGCCTTTTTTTTTTTTCTATATGGAGTCTCGCTCTGTCGCCCATGCTGGAGTGCAGTGTCACAATGTCGGCTCACTCCGCCTCCTGGGTTCAAGCAATGCTCCTGCCTCAACCTCCTGAGTAGCTAGGGTTACAGGCACCCACCATTGCGCCTGGCTAATTTTTGGTAGAGACAGGGTTTTACCATGTTGGCCAGGCTGGTCTCGAACTCCTGACCTCATAATCTGCCCATCTCAGCCTCCCAAAGTGCTGGGATTACAGGCGTGAGCCACTGCGCCCTTCCTATCACTTATCTTGTCATGCTTACATTATTCCCCACAATTTTAGGTTTTTTTTTTTTTTTTTTTTAAGTAGAGACAGGTGTCTCACTATGTAGCCCAGGCTGGTCTCGAACTCCTGAGCTCAAGTGATCCTCCTGCCTCAGCCTCCCGTAGCTCTAGGATTAAAGGAATGAGCCACTGTCCCCTCCGCCCACAATTTTCTAATGTCCTCCATAGGGTAAGATGAGCTTACAATTATCTGAGCCTAAAACCAAAATCTTTTTTGTATACAAATACAAAATATTTCCCCCCAACAGTTTTAATATATACTGAACTTTTCAGGGATGCCACTATATGTAAATTGAGGGGAAATTATATTTTGTTTTGCTCTTAACGTGACTGAGAGATATTTCATATTCAGAGAATCCTGACAACAGTGAACAAAGAGCCAAACCAATCTGCATTTGTAATCTATATGTTCACGGTGACTCTCAAGTATAGATACAAGCATGTGATTTCTTTGTCTTCTAGTGGAGTACCCAAGTTATTGCATATGGATACCATATCTTATGTAAATTGCATTCTTTTTTTATTTCTGCTTTATATAGTTTGAACACTATATTGATCTTTTGAAATTATGTATGTAAATGTGTTAGAATTGTATGCCAGCATGATAAAATAGAAGTTGCAAAATATTGGATATGAAAGCAAGAGGCATCATCTGATAGAGTTAAGAACTATTGGTGTAAAAGCACAAAGAGAGCTGTTAAGGACCCACTTGAAGCTCATGTGGCCAGCATCCAAAAGGTGCTTAGTTTCTGTTCTTAATCCCTGAACGTGTGTATCTGACGGTAACACTGTGGTTACAGCAGTATCTACATTTGAGATGTGATAACTGCCATTAGTCCTGATTCCTCCTTTCAGTTTGTGTGTTTAGAACACCCCTTTCTCTAAGAATGCAAAGTAAGAAAGTAAGATGTAAAAAAAAAAACAAAAGAAAACCTTAAAGTGAAATTACTCAAAACACACACACACACACACACACACACACACACACACACACACACACACACACACTCTATATCAAATACCAACATGCATTTGGGTTAAGGGAAGGAGACTAAGTCAAATTTAGTCAAATCTTCCTGTTTGGAGCTAGGCTTGGTCCTGTAGTCCCAGCTACTTGGGAGGTTTACACAGGAGAATCACTTGAACCCAGGAGTTTGAGGCTGTACTGCACTATGATCGCACCTGTGAACAGCCACTGCACTCCAGCCTGGGCAACACAGCAAGAGTCTGTCTCTTTAAAACAAACAAACAACAAACAAAAAACACTTCTGTCTAGTGATTTAAAACAATTGACATTCTTCCTAGCAATTAAATGTAATACTGTATAGTAGTTTGTGAAGAGGTTAGTAAGTCCTAATTTGAATTTGTGTTAAAATAAAAGACACAAAATGCACATTAAAAATGTTTCTCATCTCTGTTTTCTGAGGACTGCTGCATGTCACAGGTTTTAAAAATACACATTTTCTATCTGTGACCTTTCACATACATACCTTTGTCAAGCTCAACTGGAGGGCTTAATCTCCACTGCATCAAAAAAAAAAAAAAAAAAATGCTGCCAACTTCAAACAAATTGCCTTGGAGCTGGCTTCACAGAGTTATCACGCACTTACCCGGAGTTGAAGATAACTACCTTGACAGTGGGGATACAAAGGCAGTAATGATAGTGCCTACTACCCCAGTCTTTAGTCTATCACAGAATTCAGGAGAAGCCAATTAAGTAATCCTTCTGTTTGTTTAAAGAACTTTCAATTAGTTGCTTATCCAGTTTTTAAATTATTCTGATGCAAATCCGTGAAAACTAGAACCACACTTAAAAATCACAACTAAAGTATCATGAATTGACAGTTATTCAAACACATAACTAAGCCTCCTTTCCCACATAATACACACGCACATATACAAATACAGGCAGGTGAAATTTAGCATAACATCATGTTTTTAGAGCACGAATAAATGTTAGAGACCATTTGATCATTCATTACGTTAATTGAAACTTAGTTCAAAATGTTGCTTCCTCCAGGAAGCCTTTTTCTATTCCCTGGGCAGAGTCAGAATCTCCTTCCACACCTCTTCTCCTCTTGAGCATCTTCCAGTAACTCTATGTTCACATAGAGGCCAAGGACCAGGCTTTGTTCAGCTTTGTATCCTAGGCACTAAGATGTGCTTATTACATGTAACAGATACTCTCAAGGACAAAGATTAAGAGTTATTATGTGCTTATTAAATGAAACATATGAATGCAAATATATTGTATGTAGTATATTAAATAATACATAAGTATATAGGATGTACATTTTTAAATATACTTTTATATTGTTACATATATTATATGTAACTTTATACACTTTTATATAGTTACCTATATTGTATGTAAGTTCTTCAGTCCCTCAAGAAAATGACATTGTTTTCTTATGAACTTTTTGTTAAAATTAGTTTTATATTAGTAGTAAATAATATGATAACTTAGAGAGGTAGAATTGGGGGACCACAATTATGCCCCAGTTCAAGATAAGTCACTGGCATGTAGGAGAAGGCCTCAGAGAAGTTACGGACTTTCAGGCAGTAAAGGACACAGTTGAATTATTCACTGGCTAGCCTAAAATGGGTCTACCCCCACCCCTTGCCTTCAGCCCCCTAAAACACTGACCAAACATGTAATAAGAAAAGAGTAATTATAGGAGGTTCACCACCATCACACTCACCCCTGCCTTCATTAAGAAGTGTTTAGGCTGGTTGCGGTGGTTCACACCTGTAACTCCAGCACTTTGGGAGGCTGAGGCGGGTGGATCACTTGAGGCCAGGAGTGCAAGACCAGCCTGGCCAACATGGTGAAACCCCATCTCTACTAAAATTACAAAAATTAGCCGGGCATGGTGGCAGGTGCCTGTAATTCCAGCTACCTGGGAGGCTGAGGCAGGAGAATCGCTTGAACCCGGGAGGTGGAGGTTGCAGTGAGCTGAGAGCCGAGATCACACCACTGCACTACAGCCTGGGTGACAGAGCAAGACTCTGTCTCAAAAAAAAAAAAAAAGTGTTTAAATAAATGCCTCTGGCTTTATTTGAACAGTCCAGGAATAATTCAAGGGTCTGTCACAGAATTTTGACAAAGAAAAAAGGTGGGAGGGATCATGTGAAGAAGGCCTTTTTTCCCCCAAGAGTTAAGCAGGGGCCAGGCACAGTGGCTCAGGCCTGTAATCCCAGCACTTTGGAAGGCCAAGGCAGGCCGATTGCTTAAGGCCAGGAGTTTGAGAACAGCCTGGCCAACGTGGCAAAACCCCGTGTGTACTAAAAAAATGCAAAAAAAAAAAAAATTAGCCAGGCATGGTGGTGCACACCTGTAATCCCAGCTACTCTGGAGTCTGAGGCGGGAGAATCACTTGAACCCAGGAGGTGGAGGTTACAGTGAGCCGAGACTGTGCCACTGTACTCCAGCCTGGCCCACAGTGAGTCTCTGTCTAAAAAAAAAAAAGAAAAAGAAAAAGAAAAAGAAAAAAAAAGCTTAAGCAGAGATATGAAACCCTTCCATTTTAAGTGTCTTTTCCCCCCTCTATACTCAGAAATGTTGTACTTATTTTAGGTGAAGGCAGATGATATGTCTAACTATTCTTGCTGTGAGTGGTCCAGAAGGGCACAGTTTTGGAAATACACAGATGAACTGTTGAAGGTAGTTTCACCTTAATTTTTAGTCCTTGTTAAATATTTATTCCCTTGTCCATTGTTGGTGACTCAGTTGAGCCCACTCGTTAAAATCCTTTTCACGGGGATAGTCACTCTTATGAAAACATAGACACCTAGAGACATGTGGGAAGCGTAGGGTCATTTAACATGTGGCGATTCTACAGCAGTTTTCCCATTGTTTAACTGGAGAGATTTATTTACAGCTTGTGTTAGGCTGTTCTTGGGTTGCTAGAAAGAAATACTGGGTAATTTATAAAGAAAAGAGGTTTAATTGGCTAAGCGTTCTGCAGGCTGCACAAGCGTGGCCCCAGCATCTGCTCAGTTTCTAGGGAGGCATCAGGAGGCTTTTACTCATGGCAGAAGGTGAAGCAGGACCAGGCACGTCACATGGTGAAAGCAGAAACAAGAGAAAGAGGGGGTGGGAGGTGCCACACGCTTTTAAACAACCAGATCTCGTGAGAACTCACTCATTATTGTGAGGACAACACCAAGCCATGAGAGATCCACTCCCATGACCCAAACGTCTCCCACCAGGCTCCACCTCTAACATGGGGGATGACATTTCAGCATGAAATTTGGGGGAACAAATATCTAAACTATTCACACCTTACTAATAATACTAAATGTGCACAGTTAAATTTCAGATAAAGATTGTTCAATTGGGGCAGACACGTAATTTTTTCCATTGCTCTTTGGGACTCAGATGAATAATCTTAGTGTGGTAGAGATAAGCCTAGCTGGTTTGTCATGTGTTACTGTCAGTTCCTTTCAATTTATGAAGAAACAGAAAGATAAATTGGGAAATGTCACATTCTAGCCTTGACGAACTTTTTAGTTGGACTTGGCCATCTTTCGAGTTGTAAGAACATGTACTTCTAAGGGTACAAAATGTGTTTCCAAACTCTATGGCATACAGTTCTAGCATAACACCATGTCAGTCAATTGCAGAAACTTCCAAACATTTTTTACACTGAGAGCTCTTTGGTCAAATAATTCTTGCTTGGAAGTAAATCCCAGTCTGTGTGTGCCAGGCACTGTGTTAGGCTAGAGACAGAGTCATGAGCAAATAGCATCTCTGCTCTGATGTTTCTTACATGTGCTAGTGAGGGAGGCAAACAAAAAACAAGGCGAGTTCAGATTTTGATCATTGCTATGAAGCAAATACATAGTTTAGTATAATGGAGAGTGACAGTTACTGTGGAACATAGGTTCCATGAAAGCATGGAGCCTATCCTACTTGTCACTGTATTTTCAGTGCCTAAAACATAGCAGTTACTGTTTGAGAGAATGTTGTATGGAAAGAATGACAGGAGGCCTGCCTGAAAAGATGGTAGGTTAAAGTGGAGATCTGAAAGGTGACAGTCAGCTAGATCTTATAGCCTGATTACAAAGTGCACAAAGTGCAAGTGATGTGCAAAGGCCTCGAGGTGGAAAGAGTAGAACAGAAGTGAGACCAGGGTGGCTGGAGCCCAGTGAGCAAGGGGAAAGTGGTCTTTGAGCAAGTTGGAAGGTACACAGGGGACAGAGCATAGAGTGCCTTCTAAGCCAATTCTAAAGTGGAGAGTTTGAATTCTGTTCTGAGAATAATGGGAAACCATTGAAGGGTTTTAAGAAGAGAGTGATGCAATCTGATGTGGGTTTTAGAAAGATAACTTTAGCTGCTGAATACAGAAAATGGCCAGAATAGAAGCAGGGAGACTAATCCAGTTACAGTAGTCCTGGCAAATGTTGATGATGGTGATTTGGATTAAGATGCTCTGTTAGGAATGGAGGCAAGTGAAAGGATTGGAAATCTGTTTTGGAAATAAAACCAAGAGTACTTGCTAATGGGTTGGGTTGGGTTGGGTTGGATTGGATTGGATTGGATTGGATTGGATTAGATTGGATTGGATTGGAGGAGGAAGGCGTGTGAGCAGAAGAGGAAAATCAAGGATGATGCTTAGGTTTTGTGCTCGACTGAGTGTATGAAGTGTTCTTATGTTAGATGGACAAAACTGGAAGAGGACAGATTTGGGATGAAATCAAGGGCTCTGATTCAGACATTTTCTTTAGAAATTGTGAACTCCTCAGGAGGTATCCAGTGGAGACGGTTGGGTATATAAGTGGAGCTCAAGAGAGAAGTTTGGCTGCAGAAAGAAAGTTGGGAGTCATCAACATAGAAATGGTATTGAAACCTGCAGGACTAATAAAATAATCTAGCAAGAGAGTAGAGATAAAGAAAAGAAGGCCAGAATCGAGCTATAGCACCGTCACACAGTTAGTCTGATAGAGTAGAGGAGCCAAGAATGGAGATGGGAAAAGATCAGTAATGAGGTAGAAGGAAAATTAAGAGTGATGTCACAGATGTCAAAAAGGGGAGTGGCTCAAGAAGGCAGTTGTTTTGGGGAGTACCATGACCACCTACTAGTGATTTGCTGGAAGGACTCACTCACGACTCAATATAGAATCATATTCAAGGCTAAGATTTATTACAGCAAAGGGTATGGTGCAGGAACAGCAGGATACAGATATATGGTGGCAAAACTAGAGAAGTCGTAGTAGGCTTTCTTGTCCTCTCTCTGTAGGGATTCCACATGTTTCTCAGGAATGCATGTTTCTCTCCAGCTGTAAACTGCAGAGACATATGCAAAACGCCTCCACCCAGGAAAGCCCACTCAAGTCTTAGGGGTTCAGAGCTGGTCAAGGGAGCTGGTCGTGTAGCTATGTAACCAGCCAGGATGCAGACCCCAAACTAGGTACTAGGATGCATCAGGAATCTTCATGTCAACTTTAAACAATGATACTGTCTTGATATATTTTGACCACTGCCTTGAGGGCACAAAAATAACATAACTAATTAGTAAGCATTTCAGGGAGTTTAGTGCTCAGGATTTGGGTCAGGGTCATTGCTGTGACTGCAGGTGTTCCCAAAGACAAGCAAGAACTGAGTAAAACATACTGGCTATGTTAACTCTTTCCTCTAGAGGTCATGGTTAATGTTGAATGCAGGTGAAAGTCAAAACTGAGAGCCATAAAGTTAATTTCTATATCCCAAAGTATAGTTAGTGAAATTATATTTCTCTCCAGATAGATTCATTCCACTTATTTAGTAAACATTTATTGAATGCCTAATATAGTTCATGGCATGTGCTAGCATGAGACTATAGGGGTAAATAAGTTAGACATGGCACCTGCCCTGAAGGAGTTGACAAACCAATAAACGCAGATGTCATTAGCTGTGTGCGAGAATATGACAGAGGTCTCACGGCTGAGACCTGAAGGATAAGAGATCAGCCAGGTGAAAAGGGAAAGGCGAGGCAATAAATAGCACGTTCAAAGGCCTGGAGGTGAAGGAGCATATTGACTTTGAGGAGCAAAAGAAGTTCAGTGTGGCTGGAGGGGAGAAAGGAGAAGGTGAGTGTGGGGTAGATTATGGAGGACCTTATACAGGCTGTTAAACACGTTTTGCTTCATCCACGGGGAGATATAATCCTAAGGGTTTTTGCTTGATAGGAAAATGACAGATTTGTTTTCTTGATTGAAAAATTTCTGATAATTTTACAGTTAGTTTTGCATTGCAACAGAGATTCTCTCTCTCTCTCTCTTTTTTTTTTTTTTTTTTTGAGACAAGAGTCTCGCTCTGTCACCCAGGCTGGAGTGCAATGGTGCGATCCCAGCTCACTGCAACCTCCGCTTCCTGAGTTCAAGCGATTCTCCTGCCTCAGCCCCCGAGTAGCTGGGATTACAGGGGTGTGCCACCATGCCCAGCTAATTTTTGTATTTATAGTAGAGATGGGGTTTCACCATGTTGTCCAGGTTGGTCTCGAACTCCTGACCTTGTGATCTGCCTGCCTCAGCCTCCCAAAGTGCTGGGATTACAGGCATGCACCACCGTGCCCAGCCCAGAGATTCTCTTTAAGAAATTTGGTGCAACAGTCATTTCTGGGACAAAAAGTAGTGAGAAAATACAAACACACCAGGGTAAATAAACCAGAGCGCCACAAAATGTAATATTAAGTGTGTAAAAATAATAATCCCTGAGAGCTATCAGTGTGAAAAGTTTTTATTTGAATGCCGTAATTGAATGGAATTGTTCATTTAAACCTTCAAGTGAATTTATTTTTATGTCTAAAACTTATTAGAAATGTTTCAATGGTGATTATATGTAGTTTCTTTTTTGCCTTCAACAGAGCACAGATCACACAGAAAGGAATGATTTTTTTTTTAATCAGCAATTTTGGAGACAAATTCTATGAATGCCAACCTATACAGAAACTGACAAGCATTAATTATTCAGAATGTAAAGAGAAATGCCAGAGTATTAAGGAACAGATACCTAGATTTAAACATAATTTTGGAATATTATAATTATTATGAATTACAACCACTTATATTTGAGGCAGTATGTAACAGCTGTGTGCGTGAGCAGGAACATGAGAGGGAACGTAACCTGGTCTCATTTTCTAGACAAGCCATTCAAGAGGAGCAAAGAGAGTGGGAAAATGAAAGCAATGCCACTACTGATTATTGAACATCTTTATCTGCCATGCACTGTGCTAGGCCCTTTACACATTTTCCTTCTTTAAGCTATTTAAAAACTGCGATAAGTTCCTTACATTCCCATTTTATAGGCAAGAGCAAATAGATTTTACAGATGAAGAAATTGATGTCCCAAAATGATATCTTGGTAGGTGATAGATTCGGTTCGGTAACCCAAATGTGTCTTTTAGCGATTTATGTATTCATTCAACAAATATTCATTGAGTTCCTACTGTCTACCAGAACTTTTGTAAGGGGATGCAAAGAAGAACAGACCCAGGTCTTTCCCTTTATGAACTAGGGCAGTGGGCCTTACACCCAACTGCCGTAATGGGAAAAGCATTGTAATGGGGCTTTGTTCGTTACAGTCAACAGTGCAGTGTAGGGATGCTTTGTAAGCTGGCCTACAGGGTGATTGGTAAAGTTGAGAAAGGCTTATCAGGGAGGCTGACATTTGAACAAAGGTTTGGATATTACCAGGCAGAGAGATGGAGGTGGTAGGAATTCCAGGTAAAGCGACTGGGAAAACACATGCTGTGCTTGGGTGGCAGGAGCAGTCCAGGGAGGACATGGTGGGACTGTGCTGCAAGAAGCCTTGTATGCCAAGGAGATGAGACTTCCCTTGTACATACAGCCAAGGATAAGAATTTGATGACGATTTCTAATGTATCTTAGCATCTAAGTTCCCTTAATTTGTGCTCACTGGAAACCACAGAGTTTTAGAAGGCTTTTGTCATTGTGGTTTAAAAGAAAAAAATAGATTGTTCAAAGAACAGTGATACATAGGGAAAATATTTTGACTCAGGAACGTAATTTCTCACTAAAATTGGCAATATTTGTAGCCCCATGGGAACTATGTTTCCATAGGACATTCTGTTCGCTGTCCTTGGGAAGCTATCTAAAAAAAGAAGAAAAAAACACAATAAAAAGAGGTATTTGGGGATCAGTAATAAAAGTTGTATACTTTATTGAATGTGTTACTGTGTACTAGCTACTTATCCATATTATTTTAAATCCTGACACCTATTAAATAATAGGTAGTATTATCCCTGTTTTACAGATAGGAAACTGAGGCTCAGAAAAAAGTGACTTGCCTGAGACTACTTAGCTAGTAAGGAGCAGAGCTGGGAATTCAAACCCAGGTCTGTCAGGATTCAAAACCCCAGTTCTTCCAGTCTCTAGAGCCTGGTCTCTAGAGCCTGGAGACTTCTGTGGAGGTGACCTAGGCCACTTCAATAGGTGAGGAGACAGAGGACCGCTTGGGGATGCATTCCTTAAATCAGAGCAGCTGATTCTATGAATGCCAACCTAATACAGAAACTGACAAACATTAATTGTTCAGAATGTAAAGAAAACTGCCAGAGTATGAAGGAACAGACATCTAGATTTAAACATAATTTTGGAATATTGTAATTATTATTAATTACAACCACTTACATTTGAGGTAGTGTGTAACAGCTGTGTGCATGAGCAGGAACTTGAGAGGGAACGTATCCTGGTCTCATTTTCTAGGCAAGCCATTCAAGAGCAGCAAAGAGAATGGGAAAATGAAAGCAATGCCACTGCCGATTATTGAACACCTTTATGTGCCATGCACTGTGCTAGGCTCTTTACACATTTTCCTCTTTTAAATTATATAAAAACTCTGTGATAAGTTTTTTTAAGTATACAGACTTTTGTGCTAAATTGGAAAACCCGTACTGGAACCTGGGGGTGGGGGCGGGGCAGAGGTCTTCTAATGACTGGCCTTGTGCTCTTTAAGCTGCACTAGCTATCCCACTTTGAAAAGAATGTGTGAAACACAGTTGCAGTCATGCATACTCCATCTCCAAAGAATGGATTCATTCTTCAGGCCATAGTATACTGACTATAATTTTCTGTTTGTAATTACCCAGATTCCAAGCCTGTTTATAGCATTTATACCTGAGGAATGGAATAGTGAGGATTTGAAGAGGCCGCAGTCCTTGAGGTTTTCTTTGATAATAATATCTGTGTAGCTGCATCAAACACAAATTTGATATTCTGTGTATCTGTAGCACAGGTCATGTGACTGTAAATTCTTTTGATATCTTGTTGCATACTGAGGTCAAGGAACTGGCTCTTGATGTAATTCCCCGCATCCTCATGGGAGTTGTTACCATCATACTCTGGAAAACAAATGCTGAGATGGATTAACTTTTTACACTGGGTTTCCGCATGGGATTTTATAGGAATAAAGGTTCCACTACCAGCAGTGAGTAGCCTGAAGTCTGCCACATTGACCAGGAACCTTTGCAAGAATAAACCGAGGATGTGCCCTCTGCAGGTGAATGTGCTAGGCTCTCTGGGGTTGCCAAGGAGTTTGAGTCCCCATCCTTGAGTCCCCATCAACTACATCTAGTTGATGTACACGTGATCCTTTGCAAAGGTTCTGAGCCCTCTAAAACTGATCAAAATTGCATCTGTTAGAAAATATTAAATATATTCTATATATCAAGCCAAATACTAGGAGCTTGTGTAAGCAACAGAGTATCTTGGTGGATCACGTGGGTGTTGGGTTAGGCAAAAGATCCCACTGTTGGCCCTCCCCACACCCACATCCTTACTATGCTCTGGGCAGACAGAGTTACTCCAACTATCTCAAAATGCCCAGAAACCCTTAACCACCTCTACTGATTTGCCTGTATTCAGGAGCCTCCTTCTTCACAGCTGAGATTCAGACTTCATTGAGGGACAAGGTGAATGAGAGGGTAGGGGACAGTAGGGGGCAGAATCTGGTCATCAGGAACTTTGGACTTTCCAGTGAGCACAGACTGAGATACCTCAGGTGCTAAGACTGCAGCACCCCTGGAGGAAGACTGTACACTAGACAACAACAAGGCTGGTTGGCAGGACAGCATCTACCCAGCATCCTTAACATCCGGGAGGAGATGATGGTGCCGTGTAGGGACACTTGACCCTGCCCATAGCAGCCTCAGCCCCTGTGCATCCTGGGAGTGAAGTGATCAGGTCATGCAAGTAACTACATCAGTCCTCACCACTGGGATCATTGCTACAGAGGGGAAGGCTTTTCCCTGTGTGTTGGAGATGGAGATAGAAGTGTATTAATGGAGGAAAACAAAATAAGCTTTTACATCTGCTAAATTAACAGAATCCCAGGCTGCCAAAACCCTGAGGCTTGCTCAATCAGCAGTCCAAACTGTATTTCCTCTAAGGGACAAATTATGAGCTGCTGTAAAGGTACACACAGTCTAGTGAGAAACCATTCAATTTTGAGGGGGAAACTCTAGGGAAATAGAGTAAGTTAAAGGAGTAGAGTGTGCCAGTATGAGAAGGCAACTCTCCTGGAGTTTGAGTTCCAAAACTCAGTGGGCTCATAGGTCATGGTGTGATCTTAGAAGTCATAAGTGACCAACAAGGAGTTTAATAACGCCTTTTCTTATACTCCCTCTTTTTACATAGCCTTTATACCAAGTTATCATCTGGCAGTCATTTTAGATATAGGTTTCTAAGTTAGACGGTAGGGTCCAAATGAAGTGTTTGGCAAAGTCATCTTAATTTTTTAAAACTTGATATGAAAAAGATGGTGGTATCAGGTATTGAAATTGAGGAGCTATCAGAATAGGGAAAAATTCCCCATTTATGCCCATACTCACAAATACACAAATATTTATAAACAATAATGATACAGGCAGGCATGGTGGCTCACACCTGTAATCCCACCACTTTGGGAGGCCAAGGCAGGCAGATCACCTGAGGTCAGGAGTTCGACCAGCCTGGCCAAAATGGTGAAGCCCCGTCTCTACTAAAAATACAAAATTAGCCGAGTGTGTTGGCGCATGCCTGTAATCCCAGCTACTTGGGAGGCTGAGGCAGGAGAATTGCTTGAACCCAGGAGGTAGAGGTTGCAGTGAGCTGAGATCGTGGTATTGCACTCCAGCCTAGGCAACAAGCGCGAAACTCTGTCTCAAAATAATAATAATAATAATACAACTTATTTTTTTCCCTTTGGGGGGCTTTCCAGCAAAAACCAGAAAGCCTATTAGACAAATTTTAAAAGAGCTGTAACACTATAATAAGACTGTTTAATAATGGTTGAGAACACAGAGCCCGAAGAACACAGATTGCCTGGGTTCAAATCCTGGTTCTGCTGTTCAGTGGCTGTGATCTTGAACTACTGTCTTACCCTATCTGTGCCTAGTTCCTATTTTGTAAAATAGAAATAATAGTTCTACCTCGTAGGTTGTCGAGAGGGCTAAATAAGTTAATAAACATAAAGTGCTCAGAATATGATTGGCACATAAGTGCTATGGAAATATATGCTACTCTTACTGCAGTTACATAAATTGTGATATTTGGCAGCCTTGAAGCGTGGCCCTGCCATATGCTTTGTGTTTAAAACCCTCAAACTACTGTTTATTGAGGGCATCTTTGATGTCAGGCACAGGGCTAGGCAATGTTCCTGCTGTATCTCAATGAATCTACACAACACCCTATGAGGTAAATACCAATTTACAGCTTTAGATACTGACTTGCCAGTGGTTAAGTAACTTGCCCAAGGCCACAAAGCAAGTACCTGGTAGATTCAGGACTGAAGCTTCAAGTCTAGAGAGCTTGGCTCCAGCCGCAGCTGCAGTTTGGGCTGACCTTGTTCCTGCCAGCACACTTTGGGACCTGGGCCATACAAGTTATAGCATCCTGGACAGACCCTCTATTTTATAGAAAAGGAACCTGAGGCCCTAGGATTAAATGAATTGCCAGAGGTCACTCTCCAAAGAGACTCTGAGGTCCAGATTAGGAAACCTGAACTAACATTGAAGCCGTGTCTTTCTGTATAAGATCCAACTGCTTGTGGTATGTTTGGCCAAAAAGACTCAGGTTAAAGTCAGATACCAAATAATATATTGACATCTAGCATATTTATGCCCAGATGCCGTATAGCAAATCATCCTTCACTTTAATTAGCTTATAGTTATATACTCGACAATGTGAATGAACAGAGAAAAACAAGGTATTTTTTTTTCATCTTCTAAATTTGCTTGGGAAATTCCTCCGTGTCTTTTACAGGTTTAAAAATCATGTTTAACGATAATGTAGTTATCTTAGGAAAAAGACCAACCCATTTTTATCACTCTTTATCATTGGGCCATCACAGATGAGAGCTTTCTATCTTATAGAATCATTTGCACAAAGTATATATGAGGATATACAGCATTGTATTTGTAGCATTTCTTATAATAGTAAAAAAATGAAATGATACAGTCATCTAGTTAATGCCACTGAGTTGTACACTTAGAATGGTTAAATAACAAATTTTGTTATATGTGTTTTGCCATATTTTAAAAAAATAATAGTTTAAGAAACTAGTGACTTGTATACTTAAACTGAGTGGATTGTATAGTATGCAAATTATGTCTCAATAAAGATATTTTTTAAAACCCATACATTTATCCATAGAGAATTGGTCAGATTATGCCAAACCCAGTCAATGGAGTATTTTACAACCTTTATTAAAGAATTAGGTAGATTTATATGTTTTGACATGGGAGGATGTCCAGAATATATTGTGAAGTAAAAAAAAAGTTGATGTGCATTTCCATATGCTGTATACACACGTCTACAGTTTTGTCTTATGAGTAACACTCTTGTAAATGTCATTATGCAACTTGGCTTTTTCACTTATGTGTGTTATGTTAGAGGTTAGTACATATAGAGATACCTCATTTTTTTAACTGTTTCAAACTATTCTGTGGTATAATCTTATCTTAGTTTATTTAGTCATTTCCATATTGATGAGTCTTTAGGTCATTTATAACTTTTAGATATTTCGAAGAATGCTGCAATAAATACTGTTAAACAAGCACATTAGCTCCATAATTTCCCAAGATAGGCACTACTAAATCAAAAAGTACATGCATTTTTTTCCTCAAGTTTCTTTCTTTCATTGATGATGCTCTTCTTCCTCCTCTTCTTCCTCTTCTTCTTCTTCTTCATTATTATTATTATTATTATACTTTTAAGTTCTGGGTTACATGTGCAGAATGTGCAGGTTTGTTACATAGGTATACATGTGCCATGGTGGTTTGCTGCACCCATCAACCCGTCACCTACATTAGGTATTTCTCCTAATGTTATCCCTCCCGTAGCCCCCCCACCCCCCAACAGGCCCCAGTGTGTGATGTTTCCCTCCCTGTGTCCATGTGTTCTCGTTGTTCAACTCCTACTTATGAGTGAGAACATGCAGTGTTTGATTTTCTGATATTCTGATAGTTTGCTGAGAATGATGGTTTCCAGCTTCATCCATGTCCCTGCAAAGGACATGAACTCATCCTTTTTATGGCTGAATAGTATTCCATGGTGTATATGTGCCACATTTTCTTAATCCAGTCTATCATTGATGGACATTTGGGTTGGTTCCAAGTCTTTGCTATTGTGAATAGTGCTGCAATAAACATATGTGTGCATAAAAGGTATATGCATTTTTGTGCTTGATGGATACT
Source organism: Homo sapiens (assembly GCF_000001405.40). NCBI lineage: Eukaryota > Metazoa > Chordata > Mammalia > Primates > Hominidae > Homo > Homo sapiens. Next base: position 68,909,493 of record NC_000012.12, on the reverse strand, counting down.
GACAGATTAACCTACAAGAGGATGTATTATTTACACTCCCAGCCCCACGTGAGTATGTGTATTTCCCCACATCCTAACCAACACTAATTTTTTTCCATTCTAATGGGTGAAAAAAAAAATCTCCATTTTAAGTTGCATTTTCACTGAGCATGGTGGTACACACCTACAGTTCCAGAGACTTAGGAGGTCAAGATGGGAGGATTGTTTGAGGCCAGGGCCAGGAGTTCAAGACTAGCCTGGGCAACATAGCAAGATCCCATCTCTAACGAAAATTTTTTTAAAAACTAGCCAGGCATGATGGTGCATTCCTGTCATTCCAGCTACCCAGGACACCGAGGCTGGATGATTGCTTGAACCCAGGGCCATGGTCCCACCACTGAACTATAGCCTGGGTGACAGAGCGAGAACCTATCTCTACTTAATAATTAGTAGCATTTACATGATTGAAAATCAGAATGAACATGTTTTCACATTAATTCAACATTAGATAAACATTGAGGTACTGCCCCAGATGAACAAACACAAACCCCTGCCCCTGTGGAACTTCTGTTAAACTCTATTGGTCATTTCTATTTCCTCATGCCATTTGCCTGTTTTTCTATTTATTCATGCTTTGTTATGTGTGTGGCAAATATTTTCACCTCTTCTGTGGCTTGTCTTTTGAGCTCCATTTTCAGTATCTTTGGCCTTACAGAAGTTTTTAATTTTTATGAGATCGTATTCGTCAGTCCTTTTCTTTATGCTTTTATGTTCCATGCCTCACTTAAAAAGGCCCTCTTTCCCCCAAGGTCATAAATATATTCTATACCCTTTTCAATATTTTTATGGTTTTAGTTTTTATGTTTAGCACCTAACTCCATCTGGAATCTATTTTTGGGAATCGAGTGGTATGTAGATAGATTTCATGTCTGACAATATATATTTTTGAGCACTCAAATTTTTAAAAAGTATGTATGACTTTGGTAAGCAGAAAGAGCCAAGAGGAGTTTGAAGAGACACTCAGAAAGTGGATGTCCATTCTGGGTGGGCCCAGGAGTTTGCAATTTTAGCAGATACCTCCAGAGAAAAGAGAAAGTGATGAGAAAAAAAAAAAAAAAGCTGTGTCCTGTGGAGTAGATTCAGGTCATAATGGCTGTAGGTAGAGACACAGCAGAAAGAGTAGCCCCGGGTTGGCCTTGTATCCTGGTACCTACAGCACCTTAGGAAATACATAAAATACATGAAATGTCACAGCTTTGCAAGAACTAGAAGACCAGCCAGAATGAATCAGAGAAGGGATTCTTCAGTGTTTCTACTTGTAATGGAATTTTTAATCCCTCATCTGGTACAAAAATGAGTTTGAGATAATAGTCCATTTAAAAATAACCCAAGCCGGTGTGGTGGCTTACGCCTGTATTCCCAGTACTTTGGGAGGCCGAGGCAGGGGAATCACCTGTCAGGAGTTCATGACCAGCCTGGCCAACATGGTGAAACCTCGTCTCTACTAAAAATACAAAAATTAGTCAGGTGTGGTGGCGGGAGCCTGTAATCCCAGCTACTTGGGAAGCTGAAGCAGGAGAATCACTTAAATCCGGGAGGCGGAGATTGCAATGAGCCCAGATCGTACCACTGCACTCCAGCTTGGGCAACAGAGTGAGACTCCATCTCAAAAATAAATAAATAAATAAATAAATAACCAACCCAGCCCTGGATTAATGATGAATTTTCATTCTGGCTAGCAAAGGTTAGCAAAAGTGGATGACTACATGTAGGCATGTTAATTAACACTTTTTAGATTCTGGAAAAAGAATGTTGTGTGGCAGAAATATGGGTACAAATGTGCAAGCCTTCTGTAGATGATTCTTTAAAGGCAGGTGGAGTGGGAGCCGCTGGGCTAACCTACCCCAAATCACTGCACTTCCTTTCTTCCCTTGTCATTAAAACCATATGACCCCTTTAGTGTCTGTGTTGCACTCATGAGTTCAGAAGTTCCAATGCATCTATCAAACACATGTGTTTGCCTACTGTGCATGTTGTTCTAAGTGCTCCTTCACTGCTTCTGACAACCCTATGAGGTACTATTATAAGCCTCCTTTTACACATGAGGAAACTGAGGCTCCAGAGAGTTAAATAAGTTGCCCATAGTCCCACAGGCAGTGGTGGCATTGGGATTTGGACTCAAGTTGTCTAGCTCCAGGTTCGCAGAATCACCCTAATAATGTGCCCTCCAAATTGGCTATTTCAGCAACTGCAGTGTTCAGGAAAGAATTATACTCTGATGAGCCTTCATGAGGCAGGGTTGAAAAACCTGTGTCAGGAAAAGATATGACACCTTACTGGTTATCAGACCATGCTAGAAGGAGCCTCTTTAAAATCGAACAACAGAGCCACTGCTCTGGTGCAAGCAGCACTCTCACCCAGCCCTCTGACCTCAGTCACAGTGTGAGCTCTATAGTTCCTGGCAAACTTTAGCCATGGGGTCAAAAATGGAGAAGCGTGCCTTCAGGTATAAGATGTGATGTGTTCATGCAGGGATTAGCTCTGTTTAGGCTTAATTCTGGAAGCCAGGGTTCTTAATTTGGTTCCCATTCCCTGACGGAATACTATGCAGTCCTGATAATGAATGATTTACATTTATACAACAGTATGCATGGATGCACCACAGGGGACAGTGCCTGGAAATAGGCACAAGGGTGCTTTGAGGCTGCTGTCTACACAAATGTGTGTTTAGTTTATGAAAATCCACAGTGGCGCCTGTAATCCCAGCACTTTGGGAGGCTGAGGCGGGCGGATCATTTGAAGTCAGGAGTTCAAGACCAGCTTGGTGAAAACCCGTCTCTACTAAAAATACAAAACAATTAGCCAGGTGTGATGGCGGATACCTGTAATCCCAGGTACTCGGGAGGCTGAGGCATGAGAATCACTTGAACCCAGGAGGCAGAGGCTGCGGTGAACCAAGATCGTGCCACTACACTCCAGCCTGGGTGACAGAGTGAGACTTTGTCTCTCAAAAAAAAAACAAAATCTACAGTGAGCTCTTCAGCATATAGCTTTCTCTGCATATTGTATTCCATGTATTCATTGTACTGGATTCAATGTACAGTATTCTATGTATATTGTTATTTCACTGAAGAGTTTTTTCTTAATGGCGTGAATTAGAGTCAGCTGAGGTATTTGTGAAAAATGCAGACTCCTGAACTCACGCCTCAAGATTCCTGTTCTGGATGGGGCCCAGGAGTTTGCAGTTTTTTACAAATACCTCAGGTAATTCTGCTGCAGGTCATCTGAAGATATACCTGTAAGAACATAGCAAAGCTGCAGACCTGGTCTGCTGTTGATGTGCTTAATACTGGGCATCAATAGGACTCTATAAGTAGAGCAAAAGAATGACTTGAGAATGACTAGGCTCACACATTGGGATGGTAGGAAAACAGCCTGGTGCACTGCAAGGGTAACACCATCTTGAAGCGAAACCACCACGATGACCGATGCTTGAGTCCTGCATGCCAAGGTGTTCTTGCAGCAAGGCCAAGAAACAATGCCTGTAGCACAGATAACCCCTCATAAACATGCTTATCTGACTTCCCCAGTGGTCACCAGTGTTCCCCAGGAGGATCTGAGACATGACCAGCTGTCTTTACTCTAAACACTTGCTATATAAAGGATCATTTCTGGTGGGTGGACACAGGGACTCACTTTCTGGAGCAGCCCAAGACATCGCTTCTATTTGTAAGTCCCTATTAAATATTTTTTCTGAAGAACTGGATTTATCAGCCTCTTTCTTAAGCCTCTTAGTTCCCTCTGCCTTTGTGGGTAGGTTTGCGTAGACCTACTCACCAAGAAACAAGGCTATATCTTACATGTATCCATGATTTTTTTTAATGCACAAAAATGTAAAAAGACTATATAAAATACCTACAACAAGATTTCTGTTGGCCAGGTACAGTGGCTCATGCTTGGAATCCTAGCATTTTGGGAGGGTGAGGCGAGTGGATCACTTGAGCCCAGGAGTTCAAGACCAGCCTGGGCAACATAGCAAGACCCTGTCTTTACAAAAAGTACAAAAATTAGCTGGGTATGGTGGTATGTGCCTGCAGTCCCAGCTACTCAGGAGGCTGATGTGGGAGGATTCTTTGAGCCCAGGAGGTGGAGGCAGTGGTGAGCTGAGATCACACCACTGCACTATAGTCTGGGTGACAGAGTGAGACCCTGTTTAAAAAAAGAGAGAGAGAGAGAAAAAAAAAGATTTCTCTGAATCCTTCTCATGCGTATCATGAGAGATGTTTTAAAATGTTTCTATATTTTGGCCGGGTATGGTAGTTCACGCCTGTAATCCTAGCACCTTGGGAGGCTGAGGCGGGTGGATCACCTGAGGTCAGGAGTTCAAGACCAGCCTGGCCAACATGGTGAAACCCCCATCTCTACTAAAAATGCAAACATTAGCCAGGCGTGGTGGTGCATGCATGTAATTCCAGCTACTCGGGAGGCTGAGGCAGGAGAATTGCTTGAATCCGGGAGGTGGAGGTTGCAGTGAGCCGAGATCACACCATTGCACTCCAGCGTGAGCGACAAGAATGAAACTCCATCCCCCCAAAAAAACCACTTTTCTGTATTTTAATGCACAGTTTAAAAATGCCAGACCTGGCTCTATTCTACTTAGGTTTCTGTTCATTAGATAGGAGTCATTCATGTATGACTGAATCACTATGAGGATCCTCCTCTCTCTCTTCTTCCCCTTCCACCCACATGCCAGGCTGTGGTTCAGACTGCCTTCTGCTTTCTCACGGGTCTCTGTTGTGTGATCTTGTGCCCACCTCTCTGTGTGTTAAATGGAGAGAGTGGCTTGAACAGTACCCTCATGGTTGGTCTTCAAGAGCTCATCTAATTCTGAATGGTAGTTGGGCATGTCTGAAGGTATTAGCAATTCTGTTGCTCAGCATTGCTGATGTATTGAGCAATGTGAAAACCTTGGCGAATCTTGTTGCCATCTTCCCCTAAGAATCTGCCTCATCCTGAAGCCCAACCATTTGACTCTGTGGTAAAATGAAGTAACTTCAGTAAGGTCCATGTCTACCAATTTCTTAATCTCATTTGAGGTAAATAGATGCACATTATCAGAAAGGACTGGCCACTATGTACTGCAAATGATGGGCACAGAGTTGTGATTGTCCCAGCAGACTTGAGATGAGCTAGGGATACATCAGTCCATTATGAGACGGTATCTGTTATAGTCAAGAGTGTCTCTGGAATGGCTTCTTGTAATTATTTGGACTTTCTACCAAGGTTTCTGTGCCATAGCCTATGGAAAAGTAGATTCCTTTCAAGAGACCTGACTTGCCAAGCATGGTGGTTCACACCTGTAATCCCAGTGCTTTCAGGGGCCAAGGCGGTGGGATCACTTGAAACCAGGAGTTTAGGACCAGCCTGGGCAACAAAGTGAGACCCCCATCTCTACAAAACATTAGCCAGGTATAGTGGCGCATGCCTGTGGTCCCAGCTACATGGGAGGGCAAGGCGGGAGGATCACCTGAGCCCAGGAGTTCCAGGCTGCAGTGAGCCACGTTCACACCACTGCATTCCAGCCTGGGCAACAGAGCAAGACCCAGTCAAAAGAAAGAAAGAAAGAAAGAAAGAATGAGAGAAAGGGAGGGAGGGAAGAAGGGAGGGAGGGACGGAGGGACGGACGGCGGGACGGACAGAGGGAAGGAGAGACAGAGGGAGGGAGGCCTGACTTGTATATTTATGTGCACGAAATCCGTTCTAGGCCTCTGAATATGGCACCTGGCCCACTCTTTCTTGAGAACAGTTTGCCAGTGAGCAATGTGCCTCATGTCCTTTGTGAAACTGGCAGAGCATAAATTATTAATTTAAAATACACAAACTAAGATCAAGATAAGATGTGCTTTAATGAACGGGTAAACTCAAATGGCTTATTAACACCTTCATTTCCTCATGCTGCTTCTGAAATGGGCATTTCTCAACTTACATTTTAAGGTAGGAGCTGATCTGAGATGCAAGTTAATTATACAGTTTGTCGAAGCCAAAGAGTTGGGTTTGGGAGATTTTCTGACCTGAAAATGTTCAGTGGCGGTGCCCATGTAATCTTGGGCCTACTCTGACAGACAGTTCAGAGCCTTAACATTCAGTGTTGGTCCTTTGGATATATTGAACATAAGCTACAGTTTACGGGTATGAGAGGACATTATTGACTGAGACTTCAATAGTTCCAAAGGGGGAAAAAAAGAGAAAGATGGCTTTTTTAAAGCTACTGTCTTCAGCTCAGGAAAAAACATGTGATCAGCCGACTGTAAATGCACAGCTTGAGAAATTTAGCAATTCCCAAAATAGGTTCAAGTTTCTTTGTGAGCATGTAGGCCTACTTGCAGGTAACATTGACTTTGTTAACAACGTTTGTTAACAATAACATTGTAGGCAGTTAATGTCTCAGAGCTCTTATAGATACAAAAGAAAATAAACTTACAACTTCCAGAAAGCATCTTCTCATTGATGAGTCTAAATAATGCTCATCTATTGGAGAAGCAACTTGTTAATAGTGACTTTTTGTCACTTTTGTAGAGTGGGGAGAGGGACATGGGAGATGAAGCTCTTACTTTATTTGGGAAGTGAGATGTCTCAAGTTCTTTATTCTAAAAAAGGTAAACATCAGTTGCCTCTGAGGTAGTAATAGAAGAAGGTCTGTTTTACTTTGGAGGAACATTAACCTTAGAGTAAAACAAACGAAAACACAGTTCAAAGCCCAGGCTGTCTGAGCCCATCTCGTCATTTGTAAAATGAGGATAATAATACCTGCCTTACTTATCTCATGGTGTTTCTGTTGAGGATTAAATGATAAAGCACTTTGGAAATTATGTAAAATATCTGTATTTTAAGCAGGTATGATTTCCCGAAATCCTTGAGTTTTTCCTCTGATTCCATGATTATGACATCACTTAAATATGCCACCCCTCTGCTATCCTAATACCCCAAATCTCAGTGAAACACTGGAAAAGTCCGAAACCAATAGAGATTTCTAAAGCAGATCCCCTTATTATGCCCCTCAATTAGTGATCATTGTTAGTGGGTCTGCTCAGAGCATCATTGCCAAGTGCTTTGATAAGCTGAAGAAATCTGTTGATAATTTCTTGAGGCATGGTATTTCAGTGTGTGGAATACTTGGGTACTAGTTCTTGGGAGTTTTTTAAAGTAAAATACTTATATTTGTGTTGACTTTGCAACAGCAGGTACAGCAAATTTCACATGGTACCTTGCTACAGAAATTAATTAGTACCACTCATGGTTTAAATTATGTAGAATGATAGTATGCTCATATTCTTCTTGGCTGTCTTAAAAATGAATAGAAACAAAAAGGTAAACAAAGCTCATATTTACCTCTCCTTGGAAAGAGGTTGAGTGATTGTCATGTAGCTTCTCATTTATCAAGTATGTGTTATGATTTCGTTAAAGGATAAATTGAAAGGATTCTTAAAGCAACAAAGGTTTGGTCCTGCATTGATGCATATTAAGTAAAGTAGAGCTCCTCAGTTGGCATTCCCAGGCTGGGTGACACAGAGGTGCCTCTTTCTGATACTCTCCTTCCCAGCTCCTGTGCCATCCCCTCCCCTCTCCCCTTCTCTCTCCTCTCTCCCCTTCTTCTCCTGTAATACTTCTGCTACTTGCTCTGTTCTACCCAGAGACTGAAGGAAGTGAGTGGTGATCTAATTGAGACTGAATAAGTCCGAACATTTATTTTCCTTCCCCTTCACTCCATCCAAAGTCCAATCCTGAGGAAGACATGGAGGTTATGATTAAACTTGCCCAACACTCAAACTTTACTGACTGCTTATTCTTATGTTAATCACTTGGCCTTTGCTAGATTAATGACTGAGTGACCAGAAGTCTCAATGATCCCATAAATCGTATGATTTTAAACTATTTGTGTAGCTTTTGCTAGTTGTAATAAAAATTTTCACATGATTTTTTTTCCAAATAGAGAGGTTTAATAAAGCTAATGTGCTTGACCAGGTTTTGGAGAGTTTACATACTAATTTCTTAACCCCTTTCTAATATGGTTAGTATAGCTCTGTGTTTTCATCAGAGAGAAGCAGACTGTGAATTCCTCACCTTGGGGCTTCCATTCTCCCTCCAGGTGGCCTCACCTTTCAGGTGAACAACCTGACCTCTCTGGCTCCTAAATCCCACCCTTACAAGCCGCAGGAGCCGGTGCATGGGGGCATAGTTTCTTACCTTTACCTTTTTCAAACCTTTCCCTCCTCACCAGCTTTTTTTTAAGACTTTATTTTCTTAGAGCAGTTTTAGAGCAAATTTGCTGTACCTACTGTGGCAAAGTCAATACAAATATAAATATTTACTTAAAACCCAAGAACCAGTACCCAAAAGCAAAATTATCTAAAGCAAAATTGAGAGGAAGGTACAGAGATTTCCCACATACCCCTTGTCCCTATCCCCACACGCGCATAGCCTCTCCCATGATCAATATCCCCCACCAGAGTGGTACATTTGTTACAACTAATAAACCTACACTGAAGTAGGGGTTTGGACAAATGTATAATGACATTGTAGTATCATACAGAGGAGTTTCACTGCCCTAAATACCCTATGTGCCATCTTTTCATCCTTCCCTCCTCACTAGCCTTTGGCAACCACTGATCTTTTTATTGTCTCCATAATTTCGCCTGTTTCAAAATGTCATATGCTTGGACTCATATAGTATAGCCTTTTCAGATTGGCTTCTTTTACTTAGTAATATGCATTTAAGTTTCCTCCATGTATCTTCATGGCTTGATAGATCATTTCTTTTCAACACTGACTCGTATTCCATTGTCTGAGTGTACCACAGGTTATTTATCCCCTCACCTACTGAAGGACCTCTTGGTTCCTTTCAAGTTTTGGCAATGATAAATAAAAATGTAAATAGCTGTATAATTTTTATATGGACGTAAGTTTTCAGTTTATTTTGTTAAATAACAAGGAGCTTGTTTGCTGGATCATATGGCAAGAGTAGGTTTAGTTTTGTAAGACACTTGCAAACTGCTTTCCAAATTGGCCATTTTGCATTCCCACCAGCAATGAATGAGAGTTCCTGTTGCTCCACATCCTCGCCAGTATTTGGTGTTGTCAGTGTTCTGAATTTTTGCCATTCTAATAGGAATGCATTGATATCTCATTGTTGTTTTAATTTGCCTTTCCCTGATGACATATGATGTGACATATGATGACATCTTTTCATATGCTTATTTGCCCTCTGTTTATCTTCTTTGGTGAAATGCCTGCTGTTTCCATCTTTTGTCCATTTTTTAATTGAGTTGTTTATTTTCTTATTGTTGGGTTTTCAGAATTCTTTCTGTATTTTGGATAACTCTTTCATCAGACATGTCTTTTGCAAACATTTTCTCCAAGTCTGTGGCTTACCTTTTCATTCTCTTGATCCCTCCAGCTTTTTATTTAGAAAATTTTCAGTCCTATAGAAAAAAATACAAAAATAGTAAAATAAGCACTCACACATTATTCATATACATCCACCAGTTGTTAATATTTTGCCACATTTGCTTTATCTCTCTCATGAGCTCCATCTGTTGATTTTACTGAACCATTAGAAGTGATAAATGGCATGTCACATCATCCCAAAAAACACCAATATGCATCTCCTAAGCATGACTTCTTACTGCCTAATCATGACACATCATTATTAAACTAAAAATAATAACTCAGTAATATCCAACAACATACTGCATTTTTAAAGTTCTCCAGTAGTTCCCAGAATCAAATCAAGCAAGGCTCACCCATCGTCTACAGTCTCACAATCTAGGACAGTTCCCCTGCCTTTTTTTGGCATTGACCGATTCATATTGAACCAATTTTATGTCATTGGTTGATTCCTAATGAACCATTTCCTTGTCTACAAGCTCTTGGCTTGCCCTCTTACAGTGATGAGTTGGAGTCTCTCCATGACAGCACCAGACTGGAAATTCTTAACATGCTTTCCAGGCTCATTAACATTGAGATAGTCAAAATCTACACGATGTCCTCAATAATTTTGAGAACAGGCCATGAAAGAAAATGTTGTGAAAAATGTGTTTATGGTTAATGATTCAACACAGTTAACAGAGGTGACTTGGCTTTCTGCCCTGCCCTCATGGCAACATGCGGCTTCCCAGTTCAGCACTGTCCTCTGCTGTTAGGGCCTGGGAATTCTGAATGAGATTCAGTCCTTGGAGTTGAAAAAGTAATTTACCTGATGCTTGGTGGTGTGAATGTTTGTGACAGTTTTTGTGCTAATACATTTTGAAGGACATGTTCTCTCAAAATAGCCCCTTCCACTTTCTGAATCCACACTCCAGTTTTCTTTTTAACTTCAGTGAGTGGTAGTCTATTTGACCTGATGTGCAGATCTTCTGGCACATACATTTCTGCTGTCTCTTGGCATAACAAATTGGCAGTCTATCCCTATGTTATGTACACTGTTTATATTGAAAATTTGTCTTTAATTGGTCTGATACTACATCATCTGCTAGGGCCAGTAGTTTGTCATCAGCCAATTTGTACACCTGAGGCCCTCAAACAAACACGTGCTTACAATGTTTCTGGCACTATTTTTAAAGCTTGTAAGAATTAAATGAGATAGCACAACAACCCCATGAGGGTAAGTACCGTTAATCCCATAATATGGATGAGGAAACTGATTCATTTAGAGGGATTAAGCAATTTGCCCAATACCACATGGCTAGTAAGTGACAGAGCTGGGTTTTAGCTCTGACACTTTGATTCTGGAACCTGCACATTTCATCATTATGTCAGATGCCCTGAAGAGGATACTGTATATCATCTCATCTCACATGCTGTGTTCAGGCAGGTGACGTGCTGCTCAATGCTGGTTTTGATGTCTTTACTAAACTACTGATCTATTTTTGAGATTTAAATCTCAAAACAGTGATACTAGTGAGAAGTAGTCCACCTTTGTTAATCCACCAAATGTTCCGGTTAGGGAACCTAATTTTGGTAACTTCAAGGCCTCTCCTGCTATTGGGAGCTAAGCATCCTTCACTCTGGACTCTCACTTGCTTCACTTTAGAATGAGAGCTTTTTAGGGTAAAACTCAGGAAGTAGGATGACTGAAAGAAAAGCCTTTCTTCTCCACAGTAGCTTATGGGGAAACTAGTAAATTAATTGCCATTATTCCTTGCCACTAAAGGATGAGTTCTTATGGTAGCAATAAATAGACAATAGGGCTGTGCAGACCTCCAACAAACTGTCTTTTCTGGGGTCAAAAGGGGTCTGAATTAACCTCTTCTTAAATTACAGCTCTGTGACACCTGCAGGCACTCATAACAAATAAGAACACCAGGCCAGGCACAGTGGCTCATGCCCGTAATCCTAACATCTTGGGAGGCTGAGGTGGGTGGATTGCTTGAGCTCAGGATTTCAAGACCAGCCTAGACAGCATGGCAAAACCCCATCTCTACAAAAAAAAAAAAAAAATACACAAATTAGCCAGGCGTAGTGGTCCATGCTTGTAGTCCCAGATACTCAGGAGGCTGAGGTGGCTGACTTGAGCCCTGGGAGGTCAAGGCTATAGTGAGCCATGATTGCACCACTGCATTCCTGCCTGGCTGACGGAGTGAGACCAATAGGGCAGCAAGAAACAAAACCTCAACACTGAACCGGAATGTCCATGACATACTGTAAAAAAAGAAACCTCAAATGGACAATAACTGTATAGTGCTAGTTGTAATGATTGTGCCTTTTTTTTTTTTTTTTTTTGAAACGGAGTCTCGCTCTGTCACCCAGACTGGAGTGCAATGGCACGATCTCCACTCACTGCAACCTCTGCTTCCCGGGTTCAAGCGATTCTCCTGCCCAAGCCTCCTGAGTAGCTGGGATTACAGGCACACACCACCACGCCCGGCTAATTTTTTGTAACTTTAGTAGAGACGAGGTTTCCCCATATTGGCCAGGCTGCTCTGGAACTCCTGACCTTGTGATCTGCCCACCTTGGCCAAGAAATCTCTTTAAGTATTCATTTGTACTTTAAGGTAATGCTCGATCTCGCTCTTAGTACAGCTGAATTGTCCTTCAAAAAGATGATCTGGTTATGTTTGACCTCTTCCTCAAGGGACCAAAAAGGGAAGTTCTCAGCTTTTTATAGTATGAGGTCCCTAGAGGTTTTCACTTTGGGGATTTAAAAACAAGTTTCCTGTAGCTATATGGAGGAAAAAAAAAAAAAAACCTAAAGGGGAACATGGAAGAATTATAATGATTGGGGCATGATAATTATGTCCAGTTTTTAAAACTCCATTCTTAAAAATGTCTTATAATTTATAGGTTAAAAATTTAAATGTTTAGAGGAAGCAGGACAGGTTTATGAGTCTCTGACCTGGGAATGGAGTGGGAGGAATAGAGAAGGTGGGGTTGCAAGAGGAGAAAGGCAGAGGAATTTCCTACCGTCTTCCTGTTTTTTGTTGATGGTTAGTGATTAATGAGACAAGCTGTTCTGTTTCTCTGGGAGTCTTGACTGTCTTGAAGAAAAAAAAGAAAATTTATTGCAACCCAATGCAGCTTCAGATTTTTCCTCTATTTTTTTTTTTCAATTAAAAACGTAACTGTCCCTAATTTAGGAACTGAAATTCCCAAACCTCCCCATTCACCTATTCAGGAAGAAATGAAATGGAACCTAACATCTACATTTCTTGGGTATAATATCAAAACTTTAATACTATGGGGATGAACATGTAAGCAAATGCAACTCTATCTCCCCATAATGTTGGAAGAATCTAACTTGAAACCAGACATTTGGTTTGGATCTTGGCACTTTCTTGCATGGAAATATTCCAAGAAGGTGCATTGACTCTTGATTTGATCTAGAAAACTGGGTTCTTTCCAGAGCCCACCCAGGATGGCACCTCATAGACTAACTATGGACTTTTCCATCAATACTGGAAAACAGTTTCATCTAATCCCCGGACCAAAGGTGACTCGGACTCCAAGTGAGCTTCCTCAGGTTTGTTTGTTAATTTATCCAATCATCCATTCACTCAGCAAACATTTATCAATCATTTGCTATGTATATGCCAGACACTACACCAGATTTTGCAAGCACAGAGATACAAAATCCCTTGCTTGCAGGAAAACCTTTGGTTTCAATAAATGATAGGAGAGGGGTTGCAGGGGTACTATCTATGAAAGTTCAAAGGAAGCATCTAACTTAGGGTGGTAGGGGATGGGGCTGAGCAGAAGGATCAGGAAGGTGTTGGATGGCAGGAGGCTTTTAGCTGAGCCTTGAAAAGGCAAGGGGAGGTTGGCCGCTTTGATGGGGTGGGCTAAGGACTATCCATGCAGAAGAAAGAGCAGGTATTAAAGGTGTCAAGGCAGGGAGTTACCTCCTTTGGGAACTACACATAAAGAAGAATGGCTAGGGCCTGGTGTATGGGATTGGGGTGGGAAACCCAAGGCAGGAAGAAGACAGATCCCAAGAGGTCTGGTGTGCATGCTGAGGGGATCAGGTGCCATCTCAATGCCATGGGGAGTCATTGAAGGAAAAGCAGTTAGAGCCATGGGATCCAGTTCACATATGATCAATCACCCAAACAAAGGAAAGTTTACTCAACAACATGTTTTCATTTGGACTTCATTTTGTCAAAGCATGAAAGTGATGTCAGAAATAGAAATGAGTGTATTCATGGCACACCACCACACCCAGCTAATTTTTGTACTTTTTGCAGAGAACTCCTGACCTCAAATGATCCACCTGCCTCGGCCTCCCAAAGTGCTGGGATTACAGGCGTGAGCCACTGTGTCTGGCCTAAAACACATTTTCTAAGATTTCTTTACTTCTGGGCCACCTCCACAAAATTTTATGGTTCTGGGAACCCCTATCTGAAAAAGCACAGGTATCAGCAATAAGTATAATGAACACTCACTAGAGGGAAAGTCATTTTGGTTTGGGTTGGTTATGGAAGCAGTGTCATATGAAAAGGGCTGGACTGTACTGCAGAAATAGAAGACCCACAAATTGCTATGGCTTATAACAGAAAAATAAAGATTTAGATGTCACTCATATGTCCATTATTGAACAGTTGTGACTCTGCTCCCTGTCACCTTCCCTCCAGGACCGAAGCTGACAGAGCACCCTCTATCCAATCATTGCCTGTCTTATGTCAGAGGGAAAGGAGATGGCAAATCATGCATCAGCCCTTAAAGCTCTGCCCAGAAGTGGTACATTACCATTTCTGCCCACATTTCACTGGCCAGAGCAGGTCACATGATATGCCTGAGTTCATTAGGGCACCAGATGTTGGGCAACCAATAATACAACCCACCACTGAGGTCTTTACTAAGAAGATGACCTGGGCCTTAGGGAATGGCCATGATTTACCTGGTAGACACAGCAGGGGAGCAAAAGGAAAATATGACAATATTTTTATGAAATCAAGACTTGGCCACATGAAACTTTTTTTTTTTTTTTTTTTTTTGAGACTGAGTCTCGCTCTGTCACCCAGGCTGGAGTGCAGCGGTGCGATCTCGGCTTACTGCAACCTCCACTTCCCAGGTTCAAGTGATTCTCATGCCTCAGCCTCCCAAGTAGCTGGGATTACACGCACCACCATGCCCAGCTAATTTTTGTATTTTTAGTGGTGACAGTTTCACTGTGTTAGCCAGGCTGGTCTCAAACTCCTGACCACAAGTGATCTGCCCTCCTCAGTCTTCCAAAGTGCTGGGATTACAGGCATGAGCCACCACACCTGGCCGTGACACCCTTAGAAAACTAACTTCAAGGCAGAATGCTTCACAGTGACAAATCTTAGGATGCCACTTTATAGAAATATTCTGAAGAGAGAAAAACCCAGGTGAGTCAGAGCAGCCTGGGGAAACTTCTTAGAACCAGGATTTTGTGGAATTCAGAGGATTTTAAAAGGCAGAAAATCCAATGAAGCCATTTTAAGCTAAAACAATGTAAATAAGGTGGGGCTGTGCCTAGGGTACTAGGGTGCAGAAAGGAACCTGCCTCCTGTGGGCGCATTTGTGTTAGCAGGTAGTGGGAAATTCGGGTGGAGGGCAGGTGATGGAGGACCCTGAACACCGAGGGAAGACTCTGGATGTTATGTGCCAATATTTATCAAGAAAACGCAGTCCTGGAGATACACCAATAATTTTTGAAATGTTACAGTAGATACTAATTGAAACCTACAGTGCGCCAGGCACCGTTAGGTTAGCAGTGAACAAAACCAGCAACCTAAACAAAATGGTGAACACACCAGGCAGTGCCCTTGTGGGTTACATTTTGGTGAGACAGATAGTATATAGATAAACAAATATACAATCTCAAAGAGTGAAAAAGTTGTGAAGAAAGATGACACAGGATTAGAGAGTGACTAGGGTGTATATGGTGGCAGTGGTGGTGGTGGTGCAGCCAAGGGGTGGGGTGGAGGACAAGACAGCTGTGAAGACTGGTGAGCATGAGGTAGTCCCTGGTAACAACCAGCGCTCCACACCCTACCCTCAGAGTGCCATTGCAGGGTTAGCATACTCCACTGAGTAAAGCTTCCTTGTCCAGGCAATCAGTTAGAAGAGCCAGGAATGCTGGGCCCAAAGAGGTTGGCCAGAGAGAAAAGTGCAGGGGACATGGTTCCCAGATCCACGCAGAACCCCTGGGGACCACTGAGTTCCACAACCTCAACAAGGCCCAGGGTTATACTAACACAGCAGGTGGCCTCATTTTAGACCCCACACCAGAATCTGTGCAACGGGAAATTCCAGTGCAGCAGAAGTTGGAGTCAAATGCCTGCCTATTTCTCATTCCATTTTGGGAAGCCTAAACAGGGAAGCCTTCTGTGTTCCTCTCATTCCCATATTAAACTGAACTGCAAAACTCATGGCTCTAAGTAGACTTTAGAATTGACCTAGGCAGAAGAAATAGCCCAGCCCCTTCATTACTTCAGAGCAGAATAGAGCACTTACTCTTATCACAGCAGCACAAGACCCCTGGGACACCTGACTCCCTGAGACCCTTCCTTGACAGGTTCCCCTGTCCATAAACAAAGTCAGGAATTCCCAGCCCACTACACAGAATATGACAGTTAAGCTTCATTGGGATCCTGTGGCTGACCTGGGGCAGGCTAGAGGGCATCACATCTGTACAGGCTCTCAGCTTTGCGAGTTCAGAAACAGACTGGGTGTTCATGTGGACTGGCCCAAACCTGAAACTCTACAGAAATCGCAGTGCATGCCAGGTGGTTTGCCATGAAAAAAGGTGTGTGTCCCAGAGACAGGGTGTGTATGGTACAAATGGATTTTGTCCACGTCTTTCCTTCCCTTGCCAGTCCAGCCACCCTACTGTCTTTTTTTTTTTTTGTCAGTTTTTGTTTTTTTTTAATTTAAGTTCTGGGATACGTGTGCAGAGCATGCAGGTTCGTTACATAGGTATACATGTGCCATGGTGGTTTGCTGCACCTTATCAACCTGTCATCTAGGTTTTAAGCCCTGCATGCATTAGGTATTTGTCCTAATGCTCTCCCTCCCCTTGCCCCCAACCCTCCAACAGGCCCAGGTGTGTGATGTTCCCCTCCCTGTGTCCATGTGTTCTCATTGTTGAACTCCCACTTATGAGTGAGAACGTGCTTACCCTACTTTCTTTTCGGTTTGTTTTTTTGTTTGTTTTGAGACGAGTTTTGCTTTTGTTGCCCAGGCTGAAGTGCAATGGTGCAACCTCCGCCTCCTGGGTTCAAGGGATTCTTCAGCCTCAGCCTCCCGAATAGCTGGGATTACAGGCATGTACCACCACGCCCAGCTAATTTTGTATTTTTAGTAGAGACAGGGTTTCGCGATGTTAGGCAGGCTGGTCTCAAACTCCCAACCTCAGGTGATCCGCCTGCCTTGGCCTCCCAAAGTGCTGGGATTACAGGTGTGAGCCACCACGCCCGGCCTACCTACCCTACTTTCTTAGCCTATTTGCTGACTAGCATTCAAACTGAGTGCAGGGAGAACACCTAGCAGCCTGATCCCAGAAGTGCAGCTACTCCACATTCCACAGCTCTGGGGCAGAGTGACTAAGGCTCACCTGTAGTCCTTAAATGGAGAGCAATTTGGGATGTACCAGCTAATCAAATAAAACCAAGGCAGCAAACAATAGCCATCACTTCTCAAACCATCCTCATTGTGCCCCTCGACTCCCTCCTTCCATTTCCAGTTCTCCCCAGAGGGGAGACAGACAATAACCTCAACAACAGAAGCCAGTACACAGCAAGCTTGCTTCACACGTTCACGTTTCTTTTGTTTTTCTTTGATGTTTTTTCTTTGATGTTTTCCATTTTCCATCTCTGAGGTGATTAGCAGTACAGCATAGTGGTTAAGAACAGAGCAGGGACTCCACGGATAGACTACCCAGTCTTGTCCTTTGTTACAGTGGTTCTTAAGCTTTCAGGTGACTGGGAATCACCTGGAGAGCTTATTAAAACGTAGATTTCCAGCCGCGTGAAGTGGCTCACGCCTGTAATCCCAGCACTTTGGGAGGCCAAGGTGGGCAGATCACTTGAGGTCAGGAGTTCGAGACCAGCCTGGCCAACATGGCTAAACCCCATCTCTACTAAAAATACAAACATGAGTTGGCCGTGGTGGCACACATCTGTAGTCCCAGCTACTCTGGAGACTGAGACATGAGAGTCGTTTGAACCCAGGAAGTGGAGGCTGCAGTGAGCCGCGATTACTCTAATGCACTCCAGCCTGGGGGACAAAACAACAAAGCGAGACTCTGCCTCAAAAAAAAACCCAAAAAAACAAAACAACACAGATTACTGCTCCCCAACCCCAGAGTTTCTCATTCAGCACATCCAGGATGGAACACAAGGATGTGCAGTTCTAACTAGTTCCCAGGTGATACTGATACTCTTGGTACCATGACCACACTTTGAGAACCTCTGCCTTATGAAGTTTCCAAAGACTGTTGACTTGTGTGTGAAAGGATAACCCTATACCTACCACTTGTGGCTATTAGGGTTAAATGAGTGAATATACGTAAAATGCTTTGAGCTGTGAATAATAAAATGCAAGCATAGCTAGTCTGGAAACTTCGCCCATGCCTTTTGTCTCTGTTTTGTTTGTTAACCTCCATTTGTTTTGTTTGTAATAAACCACTTAGCCAGGTACCTCTTCCTCTCCTTCAAATACAGAGGGCGTGTGAACTTTGGAGAATGAGTGTTTAAACTGACCTAAATAATATGTGATTTTCAACTCTTCTGTGGATTCACTCATTATTCAATGTGGGCTTTGCGTGCCATATGTGATAAACTTCTTGTGTGTGGGGTATAGTGGGAATGTGCATACGTGAAATTGATGTCAGATCTTTGGATCGTTGTTAGGGAAGATAAAAGGAACTCACACTACAGTGCAGCCTTGCCAGTAGGGCTGTTATTCCCACTTACGTGGAAGAAACTGAAACTCAGTTCATTGAGGAAACTCTCTCAAGCTTGGACTTAGGTCAGAGGTGACTTGTAAGGATACACACAGAGAAACATCCAAGCCTGGGAAACCAGCTGATCTATTACTCTGTGTACCAGAACTTTATGTATCAGACCAAACACACAACAAGCCTCACGAAAAACTGGAATGTGCTTCACATCACTGCAGCTTTGTCCCAATGACTGGGCCACCCAAGGTCTCTGCTTCTCCCTAGGCATGTCCCATTGAGACTCTCCACATAGAGATAGTCTGATGGAGTTGTGACATTAACACCCAATGTGGAATGTCCCGGTGGGGTGGCCTCGGATTCAGTTGTCTTGTTCTGTAATCAGTCATAGCCAGGAAGAAAGCCCAGTCTTGCTCCAGGAGCAAACCGTAGCAGCATGCTGCTGAAAGAACTGCCTGGGGACTTTTTCCCCAGAGTGGGGTTGGCTTTGGCCTGTCTAGTACTTTCAGGGACATTGAGGCAGCCTTAGATCCTCAGAAGAGCACAGATCTTTGGAATCAGACAGACTTGGATTTGAACCCTGTTTCTGCCACTTAAGTTTCCTCAACTATGCATTGTGGCTATCACACACCTCACAGGTGTGAAGATCAAATAACATAAAGTGCTTAGCAGAGTGCCTGGCACATAGTATCTGCACTTAATGAATGATAGGGTTTGGTTTTTTTTTTTTTAAATTAAAAAAACTGGAAAGATGGAAAGGTGAAAATAATTACTCAGCTTTATCATCCTATCATTTAGCCTCTTATCCCTGACAGTGTGCCATTTTCAATCCTGTAGGGATGCATTCATTATTATTAATTTTTTAAGAGACAGGTCTTGCTGTGTCCCAGGCTGGAGTGCAGTGGCACAATCATAATTCACTGTAACCTCAAACTCCTGGGATCAAGGGATCCTTGCACCTCAGTCTCCTGAGTGTAAGGTTCTTGTATTGGTTGGAACCCTGAGAGCGCGCCAACAGAAAACACGAGGCGGTGTGAAGCAACATGCTGTTTTAATGAGCACCTGGGTACAGGCAGGCTGAAGCCTAAAATGGCATCAGCCCCAAGTGAGGACAGGGCAGAGGTTTTATAGTCTCTTGTAAACAGGAAGTGTCCTAGTCTGACGTAACTGCTATGTTGTACCCAGGTGGCCTGTTTCTCGATCAGGGGTACATGTCTTCGTCCAGGGTAGGTGTCTTCCTGCCGGCTCTCTTCCTGCTTCTGCTATCTTGCTGACACACGCTGCTGACACAAGTGGACTTGCGCCTTGGGACTGGGCCTGAGAAGGGAGGAGTTATTCATCTCCTTAAGCTTTCAGGCCCCGGGGAGAATCTTATACCGCGTAGCTAGGATTACAGACACATGCCACCACACCCAGCTAATTTTTAAAGTTTTTGTAGAGATGGCATCACACTGTGTTGCCCAAGCTGGTCTCAAACTCCTGGCCTCAAGTAATCCTCCCACCTCAGCCTCCCAAAGTGCTGGGATTACAGGCATGAGCCACCACACCTGGCCTCATCCATTATTTAATTTAAGGCTTTATATGCTACGAAGCTATAGGTTTTTAATAGAAAGTCTGTTTTACATGGTTGTAATTATATAATTTTGCATTCTTTTTCCATACTATAAAATATTTTAATGTTATAAATTCTGTACGTAATTTTAGTGAACATGCTATAATTTACATAAAATTCCTTATCATTGGACACCTAACAATAGAGAATTGATTGAATAAATGGTAGTGCATTCATATAATAAAATATTAATCAGCCATTTAAAAAGGTGGATTAGAAGTATACTTCTTAACATATAAACATGTTCACGATTATGTATAAAATGAAATGAGTGTACCTAAATATCAACTACCTCTCAAGTCTGTCTGGACATTTTCCTACCTCAGTCTCAGCAACTTTCAAACTTTAATGAGCCTCCCAATCACCAAAGGAACTTGTTAAATGCCAGTTTCACGCTTTACCCCAAGAGTTTGACTGAGACTGGGGCTCAGGAATTGGCACTTTTACAAGGATCCCAGGTGCCTCTGATGTGGGAAAGACACCTCACCTATTTCTGCCTGTTGAAGCTATACTTAATTTTCCAAGCTTCTCCTTCTTCTTTCTCCTGAAGTCCTGTAGTATTTTGTAGCACTTGTCTGCTTTCTTGTCTTAGAGATCTTAGCAAATGCTTCTAAATTGTAAAACTTTTCCTGATCCTCCAACCAAACCTAGTTATGCACCCATGTCACAGCCCCAGAATTTGTGTTAAACCCTGTGTGAGTTGCTGAATATAAATACTGAAATCTCTGGAATCCAAACTTCATTTACTTTGTGGTGGAGAGAGAGTGGCTGAGTACTTCAGAACTCTTTAGAACACCTGTTATAGCAGGAACTTTTGGGAATAAAGGTGGTCTTTCTAACCTTGATTTAAAACAAAAACAAAAACAAAACCTTGTTTAGATTACTTTTACTTACCTGACAGTCAGGTTGTGAAAAGTAAATAGTTTGTCCTTTGTGCATTTGCTCTGGTCTAGGCCAGAGATAGCCAGTAAGCTGGAGAGGGCAGTTAAAACCCTTCAAGAGGCCTGTCATTCCAAAGAATAGTTTTCTTCAGGTCTGTTGGTTGGTTTTCATTCTCAGACTGTGTCACTGAGGTTGTTCAAGGTAAGATTCTTATCTTGCAGTTCACTTAGGGACCACTTATGCTAAAATTGAGACTGAGTTACTCATCAAAGTACTTCTTCACTTAGATTTTTATCAGTGTGATTTCCCTCCTTCTTTAAATAATATTGGATATCCATATCAAGTCAGGTTTATGTCATCTTACATTATCTTTTATGTAATAGGCCAGCT
This sequence comes from Homo sapiens, assembly GCF_000001405.40. Lineage (NCBI taxonomy): Eukaryota > Metazoa > Chordata > Mammalia > Primates > Hominidae > Homo > Homo sapiens. Next base: position 68,888,215 of record NC_000012.12, on the reverse strand, counting down.
TGCAGATGCATAGTTATAAATAACTATTGATAAATATTATATTGAGATGACACTGAAATTTTGTCCTTGCTTGTAAGAGAACTAGATCATATTCTGTATAATTAGTTAACACAAAAGAATTCCTCAGAAACAAACTTTAAAAGCCAGGTATAACAGCTCACTCATGAAAAGTTCCTTGTTTCATATGAAAATGGTAACTTTGTAGAAGTAAAGCTCCAGACAACAAAGAATTGACAGGGTTGGGGAATGGAAGGTTAATGAAATTGGTTAATCAAATGCTTCTGATGGGGAATCACCACATGTAGTGTACTTGTCCACATGGCAAACTCGGAATCACTCTTCAGAACCTTGTGTAGAGGCATCATCTATAAAACCCTGCATCTGTAAGGCTTTTTCATCAGCCCCCTCCTTGGAAAAAATTTCTTTTTTTATTCTATGCCCACAACAGTACACTACACACACATCTATCATATGTCACACTCTAGTATATGCTTGTGTGTTACTATTATCCAATAGATCAGAAATTCATTGGGCATAGAGCATGTGGCTTATTTGTGCAATCTGACCCAGGTTCAGTGCCTGGATATAGTAGTATTCATTAAATAGATGTATGAATAAGAATTCTGCACTGAACAGGGTACATAAATCATATAAACTGCATTTTGTGGGTGTTTTCTGAGAACTCCTGCAGTTAAATTTAAAGCATCACCTTATGACAAATTTCCATAAAATATTGTTATAATAAATTATGAATAAATGTTGAAAATAACAAGCCCAGTATCTGCTGTTCCCTGAGTCCCTGATGGCAACTGCATGCTCCCCAGTCTGTGGGACTCCTGATTTAAAGAGCTAGATCTGAACTTCTGCAGAAACCTGCTCAACATTTGCCCATTGGTTGCTGTGAAATTCCTCTCCTGGGCTCTTAAATTCCACAGAGGCTTAATTATTACAGATATTTAAACTTTGTACATACATGACGGATATCAAACATACCCACATCTCTAAGGTAAACTGTATTAAAAGTGCCAGACAATTTTAAAATTGAAAGGGACTTCGTCATTTTTACTGGTTAGGAAACCAAGCCTCTTAAGAGACAAGCAGTTTTTGTTAGTGGGAGGAGCACTAGAATTGAAGTCAAATAGACCAGAGTTCAGTTCTTGGCTCAGGGGCTCAAATCACAGCCTCTGATCGGCAGTGTGATCATAAGCCCTTTACTTAATATTTTTGAAGATCAGTTTTTTCATTTGTAAAGTTTGGTTAATAATCCGTCTCAGTGGGTCACAACAAGGGATTACTTGAGATTACCTGAGCCAGAGCAGCACACATAATATCTGCACAAAGCAAATCCTCAGTGAGCTTTTGTCTCTGCCCTTTCTTGCCCAGATCACACAGAGCTAAGACTTAGACGCTTTCTTTGGGTTGTGGTTCCCAGTTCACCTGACAGGACTCACACATATCAAGGATGCTCCCAAGGGGCTGTGTCACATCAGCATTTAAATACAGAATTCAGGATCTCCTGCTTTAAAAACAATCTCCCTTCTGAGTTACTCTTTTTAAATTTTATTTATTTATTTATTTATTTTTGAGACGGAGTCTCGCTCTGTCGCCAGGGCTGGAATGCAGTGGCGCGATCTTGGCTCACTGCAAGCTCCGCCTCCGGGGTTCACACCATTCTCCTGCCTCAGCCTCCCGAGTAGCTGGGACTACAGGCGCCCGCCACCACGCCCGGCTAATTTTTTGTATATTTAGTAGAGACGGGATTTCACTGTGTTAGCCAGGATGGTCTCGATCTCCTGACCTCGTGATCTGCCCGCCTCGGCCTCCTAGAGTGCTGGGATTACAGGCGTGAGCCACCGTGCCTGGCCCTGAGTTACTTTTATTGCTGTTGTTTTTTTTTCTTTCCTTGTACTGCGAGTTATGACACCCTCCCAGTCAACCATCAACTATAATTTAACTTTATATAATTGTGTGAATTAGCAAGATCCTAGGAGGCTCCAGGATCTCAAAGGCTCCAGGATCTCAGGGTAATGTATATACACATTTTAGAAGAGTAAGATCTACATCGCCTAATAAGTCTTCAGCTTTTAAAAATCACATTCTAAAATAATAAGTGAAATATTTGTGCTGAATTGAAAGGGTTTCCATAAATTCTGACGGTAAACGATGAGTGTTTTAAGCATGGAGATGTTAGTCATACAAACTTAAGTCACCATGAAACAGGCGATCAAGTGGGGGAAGCAGCATCCTGTTTCCTAGTCTTACCAGAGTTCATTTGTCATTTTAAGAGACAACTTACTTTTCCATCTTTTCTTCTTTTCCTGTAAAGGTAGAAACCTGTGGGTTCTTGTTGTGGGGCGGTTTCCAAAGGAACACAGAATTGGGATTCCAGAGTTCAAATACGTGGCAAATATGCATGGAGATGAGGTACGTATGTGGCTTGAATTTCTGAAATGTCACCAGAGAAGCTTCCCCTAGGGTCTCTTGAGCTCTGTATAAATGCTACCGAGGAAGCCTGGAGAAGTCTCCAGCATGCATTGTACAAAGAAGCAAGGCCCAGAGAGGTCTTCCTGTGAGGCCTGTGGGAGGTTAAGGAATCAGGGTCCAACAACCACCACAGCTGTATGGTTGTGTACCCAGCACCCTGTCAGAGTAGCTGGAGCTTGTTTTGTGTTTGGGGCCGGAAGAACAACAGTTCCCCAGCCCTGAACTTCTGCCAGCCAATCCCTGCATCTCCTTTCTGGGTTAAGTTTTCCCACCTCCTGGTCAGCATGAAGGTGACCCAGCAAAGGAGCTGTATTGTATCCGAACCCACAACCATCAGAAACTCCCAAATAGCTACCCAAATTCCTGAGATCTGGCTTTTCAAATGCTTTTGTTACTCTCTCTTAAATCTAACACTCATTGTCTTCAGTGCTCCAGTTTAGACAATCACACTTATGATTCTCTCCTACTCACCATTCAACAAACACTTGGCTGGGTGCAGTGGCTCACACCTATAATCCCAGCAATTTGGGAGGCCAAGGCAGGTAGATCACTTGAGGTCAGTAGTTCAAGACCAGCCTGGCCAACATGGTGAAACCTTGTCTCTACTAAAAATGCAAAAAATTAGCCAGGTGTGGTGGCGCATACCTGTAATCTCAGCTAGTCGGGAGGCTGAGGCAGGAGAATTGCTTGAACCCAGGAGGTGGAGGCTGCAGTGAGCCAAGATCGTGCCACTGCTCTCCAGCCTAGGCGACACAGTGAGACTCCATCTAAAAAAACAAAACAAAACACAATTTTAAATTCCTTAATAATATCTTGCCTCTTTTCCAACTTAGCAGGGATAAACTCTCCTTTTATTTTTAGGTTCTACAAAATACCATTTACCACTGTTACCTACCCAGCCATTCTTGCCAGGCAGTTGAAGATGTTCACCTCTGTTTCTCACCTTGCTTCCTCAGAATATTTTGAGACCATGACAACTGAAATATTTTCTGTTTACCAGGACTCTATAAAACTGAGCGATCAAAGAGTCCCCAGCCATCCCAGTAAGGAAACTTTGCACAGGAATGTGGGTATTACCCTGTAAAACACAACTTATAACTTTAGGGACTTTCTCATTTACATACATATTCCAATAAGTACTACCTGCTGACTTGTTAAAACACTTCTGGATTTGCAATAGTATGGGTGGCATGCTCTAATCAGTGCTGAGCTTCCTGTTCTGGCTTAAGCCCTCCCCAAACTCTATAGGAACTGGATCTACCCTTCATGGTACACTCCGCCTGCCCTTGCCAGGCATGCTGCCCAACCTGTCCTGCTGAGAGAGGATACTTCTTGCAGCTGCAGCTAAGATGCAAGCACCTGCCCCTAGCAAAGGAATAAGTTTTTGAACCCGATTTTGGGGTGGGTGCAAGTTTAGCCCATCTGTGACTTTTTGAGCATCACGGGCGGCTTCTTTAAAAAAGACTACGTTGCAAGGAGTCTGACCAAAGTTAGTTTTAATAAAACAACTGTTCGTTATAGACAGCAGCTCAGACTGCGTTTCCCTTTTGCTATCTTGTCTATTGATCGAGGTCCCTTGATCAAGGTCCCTCAGAATGCTTTTTTTTTTTTTTTTTTTTTTCCGATGGAATTTCGCTCTTGTCTCCCAGGCTGGAGTGCAATGGCATGATCTCGGCTCACTGCAACCTCCGCCTACAAGGTTCAAGCAATTCTCCTGCCTCCGCCTCCTGAGTAGTTGGGACTACAGGCATGCACCACTATGCCCAGCTAATTTTTTTTTGTATTTTTTTTTTTTTTTAGTAGAGATGGGGGTTTCACCATTTTGGCCAAGCTGGTCTCGAACCCCTGACCTCAGGTGATCCGCCCGCCTCAGCCTCCCAAAGTGCTGGGATTACAGGTGTGAGCCACCGCGCCTGACTCAGAATGCATTTGTAACAAGAGACATATGGCATTCATTGTCTTTAGTAGTTTTTTTATTGCTGGCATTTCAGAGGTTCCAGCTATCTACTCAGAAATTAGTCCTCAGAACTGAAACTCCCAAAGATAAGCAAGAGTCCTTTCCGTCCCCTACCCCCGAATTTGTTTATTCTTTCCATGCACTTTCCTAAATTTCTGGCATCTTGTTGTCTGGTGTATCGTTCAAATCAGGGCTCGCTAGTGCGCTCTGATTCTTTGAGAAATGCTGAGGGCTGAGACTAGGCAGCGGGGAAAAGTCCCAGTGTATTTTGGGGTGGGAATCTGAAGCACTTTTACCCCCTTATGTGACCCAGCTCGTGGCAATGTCTGGGGGCTCTATGGGGCTAGTAAGAAATTTATTATTCTGAATTTGAGACCTTATCTATTCTGTCCTCCCCATGCCGCTAGGAGCTGAAGAAAGTGATGGCTTAACATTGGAGCAGAGAAGTCCTTCTGAATACAGGATATAACAACCCCCTTTTTCCTCCCATAGATCTTTTGAAATTGAAAGCATTTTTAAGAAGCAACAGAGCTAACATTTTAGGGCAGTGATTCTTAACCTTTTTTGGTGTATTCCTTGCTATTCTGTTATAAATTTGACCTGACTTCAGGGTCTGTGGATTACCTAGGAGTTTATGGACCTTAGGTGGAGAATCCCAGCAGGGAACACATACACACTGAGTGGCAGGGTGGACAGAATTGGCCACACTATTTTTAAAATGGGACCCCACCCCCACTGTGCGTGTGTGTGTGTTTGTGTGTGTGTTTCCACACTTAATACTATGGCTAGATGACAGGAAGCATCAGCTGCATCAGGGAGACTCAGCTCTGCTGATTACACCTGCCATTTTCCCCCATGTATTTTTATTTTACTTATTTATGCCTTGTTTTAGAATTGGGTCTTTTTTTAAATTAGAAATTGTCTGGTGGCCAAAAAGCATATGAAAAAGTGTCTAACAACACTAATGATCAGAGAAATGCAAATCAAAAACCACAATGAGATATCATCTCATACCAGTCAGAATGGCTATTAATAAAAAGTCAAAAAATAACAGATGCTGATGAGGCTGCAGAGAAAAAGGATCACTTACACACTGCTGGTGAGAATGTAAATTAGTTCATCCACTGTGGAAAGCAGTGTGGTGATTTCTCAAAGAACTTGAAACAGAACTACGATTCAACCCAGCAATCCCAATATATACCCAAAGGAATATAAATTGGTCTGCCATAAAGACACATTCACACGTATGTTCATTGCAGCGCTATTCACAATAGCAAAGACATAGGGTTAGTCTAGATGCCCACCAATGGTAGACTGGGTAAAGAAAACATGGTACATATACATCGTGGAATACTATGCAGCCATGAAAAAAGAACAAGATCATGCACTTGCTTATAGAACAAGATCTATAAGCAAACTAAACAGAAAATCAAAAACCACATGTTCTCACTTATAAGTGGGAACTAAACATTGGATACACATGGGCACAAAGAAGGGAACAATAGCTACCAGCATCTACTTGAGGATGGAGGGTGGGAGGATGGTGAGGATAAAAACCTACCTGTTAGATACTATGCTTATTAACTGGGTGATGAAATAATCCATACACCAAATCCCCACAACACACAATTTACCTATAGAACCAATCTGCACTTGTACCCCTGCACTTGTAACATTTACCTATAGAACCAATCTGCACTTGTAACATTTATTTTTAAAATAAATGTTAAAAAAAAAAAAAAAAAAAAAAGCAGGCCGGGCGTGGTGGCTCACGCCTGTAATCCCAGCATTTTGGGAGGCTGAGGTGGGTGGATCACCTGAGTTTAGGAGTTCAAGACCAGCCTGGCCAACATGGTGAAACCCCATCTCTACTAAAAATACAAAAAATTAGCTGGGTGCAGTTGTGGGTGCCTGTAATCCCAGCTACTTGGTAGGCTAAGGCAGGAGAATCACTTGAACCCAGAAGGCAGAGGTTGCAGTGAGCCAAGATCATGCCACTGCACTCCAGCCTGGGCGACAGAGTGAGACTGTCTCAAAAAAAAAAAAAGAAAAAAAAATTATTACAAAATCAACATATGTTCATGTTAGAAAAAGTATAAACAAAACATTATATACTGACCTTCCCAAAATTAGTGCTCTTAATTTCTTATTTGTTTTTCCAGATATTTGTGTGTGCATGTACTTTTACCAAAAGAGATATGCTATTTGCAACACTTTTAAGTAAATACTAGCTACCTTTTTGTACCAATAAATCTTTATCCTATCTTTATCTTATCCCCCACTTTCTAGTTTCTCCAATTGTCCTCAAATGTCTCTAAAATTACCCAAATCAGGATCCAGTCCTGGCTCATGCATCGCATTTAGTGGATATGTTGGATCTCTTGGATCTCATTTAATCCAGTATCTTTTTATTATGATACTAGGCTTGATAAAGAGCCCAATCAGTTGTCTGCCCTGTAGAATGCCACATATTCTGGATTTTTGGTTTGCTTCTTTATAGTATCACTGCAGTTGTACCTCTAGTCCCTGACTTTACTTCAAACTGGAAATTAAATCTAAAGGTTTGTTGAATTTAATGTGGCTAATACACATCTTAGGAGTTGTGACGATAGGTTCATTTGATTGATGCTGAGGGTTCAGGCTAATTCACCTGGCTACACTCAGGAATGCCAAAAGCAAACTCCGGGTAGCAAAATCAACTTAAAATGGCCCATTTTCAGCCAAGTATTGTTACAAAATAAGTAAAGTTAAACTCACTCCTCATTTTGCATGAATTTCACGTATTCTCTTATTCTTGCAAAGGTCATTGTTCTACTAGGATCATGGCTCATACTGTAGATATTTTTCTTGTCTTCAGTGACCTTCCATTGTCTCACATGCTTTCTATGGCACAGGCTCACTATGCCACATTAATCAGGCTGGCAAGTTGCCTCCTCAAACAGTGCTTTACAAGAAAATAATAACAATAGCTAACATTTATGGAGCACAGATGACAATAAGTGCATTTTAGGCCTCGTTTCTTTGGATCACCTCTGCAGAAGGCATGTTTATTAGTCCCATGTACCATGAAGGGGGCCCAGGTTTATGCTTGGTCACCAGCTGTGGGAACCCGGAGCCTGAACACCAAGCTTTGCCCAGCTGTGGATCCACTCCTTTACTCTCTCTTCTCTGTTTTTAAAATGTTCTGTTTTATGGTTTTCATTCTTAAGTATAGATCTATGATCTATCTCAAATTAATTTCACTGGGATGGATACTAAGTTGTTGCAGCACCATTTGGTGAGAGGATTTGGGCTTGCTGTTATGTAAAAGAGTAACAAGCTCTTGGAGGGCAACACTGGAATAAGTATCTTCCAGTCACCTACCTGTCCCTTTCTTTCCCCTACTCTTCACTTCTCTCTCCTTGACTGCTGGGGAGCTGACAGACATAGCACTCGTGGTGAGCCTTTGTCACCGATGTTTATTCATTTTTTGGAGCAGCATGGGAGAAACATTTCTGGGGTTCTTTCTCATTTTAATAAGACTAGTAGGTGTTTTTCTGGTTCATCCAGGCACACACATTATTTGCACACATATTGGCATGTTGGATTGAAGCCTCAATTCTAGGTTTAATTTACGCAAGCTCCTAATTGGCATCACTTGGCATACCTACAGTTGAATCTTTTTTTTTTAATTGGAAGGGTTGATGCCAGTGCAGGCTGAATGGGGTTCTCTGCCATTCCTGTATGCTACAGATATTCAGATTGCCTGGGAACAGGATCCTTGTCCCCTCACCTTCCCCCATCACCTCATTCTGCTCCTGGCTTGGTGTGTAGTAAACTATAACCAATACTCTAAAATCAGAGCTATACTGAAAACTGGGACCATGCCCTGAAACCAGGAGCATCTAACATCCTCAGCCTAAATGTGGATGCAGAAGAGAAGCCTGGGAAAATCTTCCCCAGCCCTCCCTACTCTTTGTTTTGTGCTTATCTTCTATCCCATGTTTTTCAAATTTTGCAGAAAAAATACTTTTCTTGGGTAATCTCTAGGTTGGTAAGACATCTTTAATTCCTGCCTAATGGAAATATTGAAGCAAGGCATGACTGTGTGCTTAAAGAATTGGGTGCCCAGGCCAGGCATGGTGGCTCATACTTATAATCCCATCACTTTGGGAGGTCAAGCTGGGGAGATTGCTTGAGGCCAGGAGTTCAAGACTAGCCTGAGAAACATAGTAAGACCTTGTCTCTAAAAAAAAATTTAAAAATTAGCTAGGTGGGGTGGTGCATACCTGTGGTCCCAGCTACTCAGGAGGCTGAGGTGGAAGGATTGCTTGAGCCTGGGAGGTCGAGGCTGCAGTGAGCCATGATCACACCACTGTACTTCAGCCTGGGTGACAAAGCAAGACCCTGTCTTAAAAAAAGAATTGAATGCCTAGAGTTTTAAGCCAACCCTAGTAACATTAAGCAAAGTATCATAGGTCAGAGCCTGGGTTCAAACCCAGGTTTCCTTGACCTCAGTGCCAAGGGTCTTAAATACTGTACTGTAGGAGTAACTATTGAATATGCTTGTAAAATAATTTAACTAAATTGCAATTATTTTTTATTTTAGAGTTGGGATCTCGCTCTGTAACGCAGGCTAGAATGCATTGGTGTGATCATGGCTCACTGTAACCTCAAACACCTGGGTCCAAGCAATCCTCCTGCCTCAGCCTCCCACATAGCTAGGTCTAGAGGTGTGTGCCACCACACCAGGCTAAGTTTTTTATTTTTTGTAGAGATGGGGTCCCACAGTGTTGCTCAGACTGTTCTCAAACTCCTGGCCTCAAGCGATCCTCTGGCTTTGGCCTTCCAAAGTGTTGGGATTACAGGCTTGAGCCATTGCGCCCAGCCTAAATTGCAATTCTGCTTTTTTGGGGAGATGGGGGGTAGGAATTTTTTTAAGCCTTAGTTTCTTAAAGAGCAATGAAGTATTTTTACTAAGATAGACTTAATATGGGCTTTTGTAACTGCCCAACAGGTTCATTTTGCCTGTTGTCCAGATAGAGCAGATTTATCAAGACAGGGGAATTGCGATAGAGAAAGAGTTTAATTCATGCAAAGCCAACTAAACAGGAGACCGGAGTTTTACTATTACTCAAGTCAGTCTCCCCAAAAATTCAGAGACTGGGAGTTTTTAAGGATAATTTTGTGGGTTGGGGGAGAGACAGTGGGGAGTGGTGATTGGTCAGGTCGGAGACGAAATCATAGGGTGTCAAAGCTGTCCTCTTGTGCTGAGTCAGTTCCTGGGTGGGGGCCACAAGACCAGATGAGCCAGTTTATCGATGTGGGTGGTGCCAGCAGATCCATCCAGTGCAGGGTCTAAAAAATATCTTAGGTTTTACAATAGTGATATTATCCCTCTGAGCAATTGGGGAGGCTTGGAATCTTGTGGCCTCTGGCTGCATAACTCCTAAGCCATAATTTCTAATCTTGTGGCTAATTTGTTAGTCCTACATTCAGGAAAAGGCTATTATCATCTTTGTTTCAAAGTTAAACTATGAACTATGTTAGTTTAGCCTATGCCCAGGAATGAACAAGGACAGCTTGAAGGTTAGACGCAAGATGGAGTTGGTTTCATCAGATCTCTTTCATTGCCATAATTTTCTCACTGTTATGATTTTTGCAAAGGCAGTTTCACTTTTGAAAAATTCGCATCACATTTAGAATTTTATGATTGTGGCATTGGTTTATAGTTTATTGTATTCCAGAAATATAGGTTGAAAAGAGAAAACATTCCCTGGGTAATAGTGGCCATATTTGTCAACCTGAAAATAAAGAGATAAAGGATAAATGACTTTCACACACCTTCTAAGTATAAGAGACAGTTGATGAGATGTAGTTTGCATGTCTAAATGTTTTACTTAGGGGGTATTTTAATGGTTTACGCAGACAGTGGGACACAATATCTGAAATTATGGCCGTTCTGGAAAATCTGGGAAGTACAGTCAACATGCAGTAGAGGTTCCCAACTTATCATTAAACCAAAACACAACATTAAAGCTTGTCTTTCTAAATGCCGCTGCCCAAGCTCCTTTTCCTACCACTATCCTCAGGTGATAGTAAAATGTCCTCAGTAACGCTCTGTGGTTTGAATAATTAAATTCTTTCTTTTTAGATTTAGGCAGAGCTCATTGTTTTCCAGGTGAAATATCTAATTCATTTTAAGCATGTTTTAAATTAATGAACTGTTTGGTGACCAGATATCCCAAGTCCCTGTCATGAGCGTAATTGTTAGCCTGTGCCTCTATAAAATGTGTTCGGTATTTAAAAATCCTTCAGATAAAATAGCTTGATCATTTGTACATCTCCCCTTACAAAGCACCTTAAGTCCTCATGTGAATTTCAGAAAGTTCTTCCTCAGGATAGTCTTGATCTTATAATGAATTTTCAACAGTAGTTTATTAGCAATTATTTATTGAATACATGATATACCAGGAGCTGGACAAGCTACACCAAGAACACAGGGATACAGAGAAAAACCGTGAAGGTCCCTGACTTCGGGGCTTCGATGGTGGAGTTAGAGAAAGGGAGGTCAGTCAAGGTCAGCCAAGTGATTGTAACGTGTGTGACCCGCATTAGATAACACAGGTGTCATGGTGAACCCAGACTTGGGAGGTCAAGAAAAGTATGCTAGATAAATGTCATGTTTAGGCTGATATTTGAAGAAGAAGGATTAGCTAGGCAGGTCAGACAAATAACTTAAATCTATAACACACACACCACTGTGGAGCCCCACAGCCCGATGACTTTCCCCCCAGAAGCTGCATCACAGGGTAGCATTTCAAAAACAGATTCCATTGTTAGGATAGCTGAAGATTCTCTCTCTCTCTCTCTCTCACACACACACACACACACACACACACGCATGCGCGTGCACACACACACACACCACACAACACTGCCTGGGTTGTAGATTGTTCCTTCAAAAATTTTTTTCTGTTTTTTTTAATAAACATTCTGTGAAGAACCAGAACACTCATTTGTATCTGTGTGGCAAATTCCAACTTGACTGAATTGAACTGCAGCTGATAGAGAATGTATTTTCTGCTTTCTGGGTGACTGCCATTTTAACCACCGGATGAAGGAGATGGAGTGAGAGTCTCCGGAGGCCGGTGTGTCCATCAGGCCCCCGTTTCTTCATGAGGGCTTCTCCCTGAAGTCTGTGCTCTCACAGGAAGGAAGCCAGCATGCTGGGTGAAAGGCTGCCTGGGCAATTGGAGACTCTTTTGACCACATTCTTTTTTAAAATTTGGACTCTCCAGGGTTTCCTGTCAAAGACTTAATTTTCAATGAAGGGAGGTTTATACATAAAACATGAATGAGTGTTTGAAACATTTATATTAAGGTTGGGAAGAATTAATTTGAATAATATTTGGCATAAATCTGCTGTTACAGAGGCAGGAAAAGATGGCCCAAAAAGAAAGGAGGATTTTGTTTAACTGCCTCTGAAATTTCATCTGTTTATCTCAGCATTTAAAAAATTATCTGATGCTTAGTTGGTTCTTTATCTTATTTTCAAGATTTTTATTTACCCTTGCAATTGAGAACTTGTGATTTGTTGTGGACTATTGAGACACACAAAAAATACTTTGGTTACATACTTGTTTCCCTGAAAGAATCATGATTTTATTATTTTTGTAAAAATGACATAGGTTTTCTTTAAAAAGAATAAGAGGAAATAAAAATCATTCAGAATACTGTACCCAGAAATAGCCATCATTAATATTTGTCAGACATCATTGTAGACATCTATATATTTCTGTAGTAAGAGAATGAGAGGAATTAAAAGAATATAAAATAAAATGTCTCATATGTTATATTGTATGAAATTTTATTTTATTTGAATTAACAGAAGAATAAAACTGAAGTGAAACTAAAATAACTGGTGAAATTGATGCTTTCTCAAAATAAGAAATTGATTATCACATTTGTCTTTCTTTTTTTTTTTTTTTTGAGACAGAGTCTCGCTGTTGCCCAGGCTAGAGTGCAGTGGTATAATCTCGGCTCACTGCAACCTCCAACTCCCAGGTTCAAGCGATTCTCCTGCCTCAGCCTCCCGAGTAGCTGGGATTACAGGCACCTGCCACTACACCTGGCTAATTTTTATGTTTTTAGTAGAGACAGGGTTTCACCATGCTGGCCAGGCTCGTCTCGAACTCCCTACCTCAGGCGATCTGCCTGCCTCAGCCTTCCAAAGTGCTGGGATTATAGGAATGAGCCACCGCGCCCAGCTTGATGATCAGATTTTTCTAAAGTTAAGAAAAAAGATTATTAAAAACTTTGAAATTGTAGTCATTTTATGTGTATATATTTTAACTTTTGATAGTATTTTATGTCCCCTTACTATGAAATGTGAAGTAATTAACACTTTGAAAATTTCTCCCTCAACTTCTTTTTTTTTTGAGGTGGAGTCCTGCTCTGTTGCCTAGGCTGGATGGAGTGCAATGGCACAATCTCGGCTCACTGCAACCTCTGCTTCCCAGGTTCAAGCGATTCTCCTGCCTCAGCCTCCCGAGTAGCTGGGACTACAGGTGCCCACCACCATGCCCGGCTAATTTTTGTATTTTTAGTAGAGACGAGGTTTTACCATGTTGCCCAGGCTGGTCTCCAACTCCTGACCTCAGGTGATCTGCCCACCTCAGCCTCCCAAAGTGCTTGGATTACAGGCATGAGCCACCGTGCCCGGCCTCAACTTTTATATTTTGTTCTATACCCATACTACCAAGACTGCTTAATCTAATTCTGTATCTAACAGAATACCAACTCAACCTAGCCTCCTAATCATGGTTTCTTTACTCTTCCTTTTCACTTTCTTTCGGTTGGGTGAATTTCATTGCCAACTCGTGTCGTGATTGTTTGCATGCTGGAGAGTGTATGATTCAGATAGCTAAGAGACAAATTCACATTTAGAGTCACATGGGGATTCTGATATCACTTCCTCTCTGTTCTTGACTTGGGACTCAGATAGGCCAGGGATTTTTGCCGATTGAACCATACTATGGCCTCTAACCAGCATTTAGACATTTAAGGAACTATGGGACTCCTGGTCACTTCCTCCTCACCTTCCTGTACCTATTCCTCCCCAAACCCTTCTGAGAAAGCTTCTTAAACCAACGATCTTTTTCACATTTTTTTGGTTTTTTTTCGAGATGGTGTGTCTCACTCTGTCACCCAAGCTGGTGGCGCGATCTCGGCTCATTGCAACCTCCGCCTCCTAGGTTCAAGCGATTCTTGTGCCTGAGCCTCCTGAGTAGTGGGGATTACAGTCACCTGCCACCATGCCCAGCTAATTTTTGTATTTTTAGTAGAGATGGGGTTTCACCATGTTGGCCAGGCTGGTCTCAAACTCCTGACTTCGGGTGATCCACCCACCTCGGCCTCCCAAAGTGCTGGGATTACAGGCTTAAGCCTCCACGCCCAGCCCCTTTTCACATTTAAAGTTACTGTCACAGTTTTATGTTACCAGCTCCTCCCCACTGGCTTTAGGGGAGGTCATAAGTAGCTCATCAAGGTTACTTCCAAAGGTGCTGGACCTTCAAAAACCTATTATATCTTAAAATTGGAACCCAGTGGGGTGTACAAGTGACTTTTTTGGTTATTAGCTTGTAAGGACTTTTTCCAGTGACAATTTTGACTATAAAAACAAAAATCTGGCCGGGCGCGGTGGCTCACACAGTAATCCCGGCACTTTGGGAGGCTGAGGCAGGCAGATCACCTGAGGTCAGGAGTTCGAGACCAGCCTGGCCAACATGGTGAAACCCTGTCTCTACTAAAAATATCAAAATTAGCCAGACATGCTGGTGGGCACCTGTAATCTCAGCTACTTGGGAGGGTGAGGCAGGAGAATTGCTTGAATCCAGGAGACGGAGGTTGTAGTGAGCCAACATGGTGCCACTGCACTCTAGCCTGGGTGACAGAGTGAGACTCTGTCTCAAAAAAAAAGGTAGTGGAAGAGGAAGATAAAAAATGAGTAGGAAAAAAAGTTGAAGTCAGGATTGGACATAATCTGACTCTAAATTTTATGGTTGCCTATGAATCTATAATTCATATATCCCAAATTTTCTTTCTTTCTTTTTTTTTTTTTTTTTTGAGACAGGGTCTCACTCTGTCACCCATGCTGGAATGCAGTGGTGCGATCTCTTCTCACTGCTGCCTCAACCTCCTGGGCAGCACAAGCGATCCTCCTACCTCAGCCTCCTGAGTAGTTGGGGCCATAGGTCTGTGTCACCATGCCTGGCTAATTTCTTATTTTATGTAGTGATGGGATCTCGCTATATTGCCCAGGCTGGTCTCAAACTCCTGGGCTCCGCCTTAGCCTCCCAAAGTGCTGAGATTACAGGCATGAGCCACTGCCACCAGCCCCAAATTTTCTTAGTCCCAATTTCAATTATTCTGTGTTCATTAGGATAACAAATGTTTAAAATGTGGTCTCTTTATGTGCCAGTGAGGGAATCAAGTGAGAAGTGGTCATCCAAGGACCGCTTATCCTTTGTCACAATGTTGAAGTCCTACAGTGAAATCATGACTGGAAATTCTTCTGAGGCTCCATGAAATCTTTTCTTGCACAGTGTCTACATGAATGTGCCTGCAGCACTCTCCTGATTTTCTCACCTGCTGCCCCTGAGTTCTCATTTACTAACCCCTCAACAACATCTGTTCTTCTGAAGCAGATTCCTTGAACCTAAAATGATAGGGAGAATTTGATGTAGTCTAAGCAGATCTTCCTATGATAAGGCTGACATTTAAATTACTTTTTTTAAATAAGAAAAATAATGACTCTCTCTCCTGGGGAGGGATTATAAAGCAAGTTCTCTCACAGGCCTTCAGTTTCCCAAGCCTTATTGATACTGCAAGCTAATTTAGGTGGATATGACAGCTTTTAACATTTTAATAGTCATGCTTTTACTTAATATATATTAGAAATATATATCTAGAAAAGTGATAATGATATGAAGTTTCTCAGGAGTTGGAAGCCAGCCTTAGCAACATAGCAAGACCCTGTCTTAAAAAAAAAAAAATCTACAATGTGATGATTTTAAGTCTGTTATCCACCAATACATACATGATAAGCTTCATATGCACCATGCATTCTCATGGAAATACGTGATTCCTGTGCTTCTCTGTAACTCAACCTCTTGCTCTCCCACTCCAGAAGATACTTTGGAAGGCAACCAAATGAAAAATGTTGTAAGAATCATTATTGCGGCCGGGCGCAGTGTCTCATGCCTGTAATCCCAGCACTTTGGGTGTCTGAGGCAGGTGGATCACTTGAGGTTAGGAGTTCAAGACCAGCCTGGCCAACATAGTGAAACCCCATCTCTACTAAAAATACAAGAATTAGCTGGGCGTGGTGGCACACGCCTGTAATCCCAGCTACTCAGGAAGCTGAGGCAAGAGAATCGCTTGAACCCAGGAGGCGGAGGTTGCAATGAGCCAAGATCGCGCCAATGCACTCCAGCCTGGGTGACGGAGTTGAGACTGTCTCAAAAAAAAAAAAAAAAAAAGGAAGCAGCAGCAGCAGCAGCATTATTCCACTCTAATTCATTTTTGCAATATGTAAACTATTTACAAATAGGTACTTTCACTCTTACTAGCATTTTTCAGCATACCTCAGGACTGATCGCCACCTGATGGCCACTTGGCAGAGCATAAGCATGCTTGAGAAAGAGTGATCTTACAAACTAGTTTGGGTCTGAGATATCATGTGTAGAGACCCCTATTGGGGAATTTGTACCGTAGGGAGTGCTTTCCTTATTGCCTCTGACCTAATAATGTCCTCTTTTCTCTTTAACACATATAGACTGTTGGGCGGGAGCTGCTGCTCCATCTGATTGACTATCTCGTAACCAGTGATGGCAAAGACCCTGAAATCACAAATCTGATCAATAGTACCCGGATACACATCATGCCTTCCATGAACCCAGATGGATTTGAAGCCGTCAAAAAGCCTGACTGTTATTACAGCATCGGAAGGTAAAGAGGGGCTGGTCTATCTTTACTTGAAAACAACACAACACAAAGGCTCCCGACAGGCACCTGTTGGCCTTGGCAAGAGGAGATGTGTCATGGTGAGAGCCCTCAGAGCCGGTGTCATGTCGCTGATGTGCCAAAGCTCAAGGCACATCAGGGCTGCCTCCGGCTTGCAGGAAGAAATGCAAATAAGGCTACTTTGCCCCGGTGCCCACCTAGCCTCTCCATCTTCATTTGCCACTCCTTCTCTCTCCCCTGCCTCCTCCCCTCTAGGCCTCCTTCCTGGAAGTACCAGGTGCTTTCTTACCTCAGCATTTTACACACACCGTTTCCCTGCCTAAATAGCATTTCCTCCAAGACTCTTTCTCTCGACCTGTCATACACTAGATCCCCTGATAAACTCTCACATCACCTGGCACTTTACTGTCAGAGCACAACTTTTAATATCTAATTTCTTGCTTCATGTCTCTCCCCCCACTACACTGCAAGCTACCTGCAGGCAGGAATCCTGTCCATTGTGTTTGTCGTTGTTAGATCCGCAGTGCCTGGCAGAGCACCCAGGCCCTTGGTAATGACCGGTTGATTTATTAGGCCAGTAGTCCAAGAACTAACCATAAGCAAGAACGGGTCTTGAAGGAGCTCTGATTTAAACAGTTTATTTTGTTTCAAGCTGCCTTGGGAGGTTTGGAATTTCTCAGATGTCTAATATACATTCATATGTATGCAATTTACATATATGTGTTTGCTTTACCAAAGCTGAACAAAATCTCACCACTTGATTCCCTCCAATTTTAAGTTTTTCAAATATATTTAAACATGGCTGTTCCACGTTTCACAAGTACTTCTGTGTAATGTGTTTAGTGTTGTTTCTGTTATCAGTTGCTACTTAACGAACCACCCCAAAATTAGCGACTTAAAGCAACAGCCTTTTTATTTACTGTTGATTCCATAGGTCAGGAATTTGGGCAGGGCAGAGCAGGGATGGCTACTGTCCGTGCCACAGGTCTGGGGCTCAGCTCTGGTCTTTCTGAGACAATTTACCTGGAGCCATGGACTCTCCGTGGACTCTCCACGTGGCGACCATTGGGATCTCAAGGTCCCAAAAGGGAGCATCTAAGAGCAGAAGTCCCAAATACAAACACTTATCAAACCTCTGCCTGCATCACAATAGCTAGTATCTCATTGGTGAGAGCAGATCACGAGGCAGGGGATGCCATGGGATGTAAGTGCCAGGTGTGGGTCATGGCAGGCCACAAGGGCAGCCATCCACCACACCCATACTCACGTTTGGAAAGACACCTGGAGCCTAAACCAAAGGGCAAGACACTGTAAGAATCCACTCCCTCATGCCCTATCAATAAGCCCTAAAATATTCTTTCTTTTAAAGGGAAAATTATAACCAGTATGACTTGAATCGAAATTTCCCCGATGCTTTTGAATATAATAATGTCTCAAGGCAGCCTGAAACTGTGGCAGTCATGAAGTGGCTGAAAACAGAGACGTTTGTCCTCTCTGCAAACCTCCATGGTGGTGCCCTCGTGGCCAGTTACCCATTTGATAATGGTGTTCAAGGTAAGCAGGTGCGGGTCCAGTTCTGGCTTCTTAAGTCCAGAGTGGGGCTGAAAACTCTCTGCCTCTGGATGGGGATCAGCTCTCCCTTCCCCTCTTAACTTCTCTGGCAGGGTGAAAAGAGCTTCATGTTCCCAACTCTAGCCATCCTTCCTGTGATTCTTCAACAGCAGATGGGCAGTGTGGCTGAACTGACAACCCACAGCTGGACATGCATCAGTGAATTAGTGAAATTTAGATTCTAGAAAATACAATCTAAATAGTCAGATTTTGATTCTCTGACAAGAGACAACATGGCTAAAATAACATAAAACTGGAACAACTCACTTTTTTTTTTGCTAATCATATATGAACAATAATTGTTGACTCTTCTTAAAACTCTGTGGGATGAGGACCCAAAATATTACAGTAGCTTTATTCACCCCTATAATACCTAAAGAAATTGTCCTTACCTCCAGAAATTAGCAAGAGTGACTGAGAGGACACTTAATTTTTAAGCTGATTTAGGAGTTTGGATTTGTATCTGACTTATTTGGGGGCTATCACCTTGCATATGTTTATTATAAAGTAGAAAGAAGAATAGAGGAGGTGGATGAAGGATTTCTCTCTAGGGAAATTAGAGCATGTGTGTGTGATGCGATTATGTCTTTGCTAATATGGTGTTTGTGTTTCCTCTTACTCTCAAGTCAGTTTAAAGGTCTTGGTTCATCTTTTAAATGCAGCAACTGGGGCATTATACTCCCGAAGCTTAACGCCTGATGATGATGTTTTTCAATATCTTGCACATACCTATGCTTCAAGAAATCCCAACATGAAGAAAGGAGACGAGTGTAAAAACAAAATGAACTTTCCTAATGGTGTTACAAATGGATACTCTTGGTATCCACTCCAAGGTGAGTTTCTCTTCATTTCTTCCATTCTCCTTATTGCCTTCACCCAGAAGTGCCAGCTGGTTTATTTTGATCCAGCAGTTGTTAAAAGAACTTTAGGCACAATAGGCCCTTCACTCTGTCCTTATCAGCTAATATCATAAGAGCAGTGGAGATGACTGATTGTTTGAGAGATGCTCAGACATGTTCCTCATTACCAAGGGCCTTCTTCATTCATTCAGGTACTTATTCTGTGTCTGCCTACTGTGAGCCAGGAACTGAAAGATGAACAAGACACACACCTCACCCTGGAGTTGAATAGGGGAGACAGACACGCAGATAAGTAATTGTGATAGCAGTGCAATTAGAATAAAAACAGATTTAGAGAAGGTGCAGTGTACCCCAAGGGTGCACAGAGCCAAAATACAATAGGGAGTAGTGAAGAGCTTGGAGAAATGTGATGCTTACATCCCATCTAACAGGGACAGCTGCTACTAGATCTAGCTAATTATTGTCATGCAGCCTTGGGGAGCCAATACTGCCAGATCTTGCAGTTTGTAAAGAGAAGCTGAATTTGTACATGAAGTATCATGATTTTAAAGCCATTTTGCGGGCTCAACAAAAGAGCTCTTCAGACAGGATACAGTGGGAGGAGGGCCCCCAGTTCTCCAATCTTGGAATAAGACAGCCGGGTAAGGGACAGGATGAGATTGTCATGTAGGCAACATGGAAGGAGAGATATTCTTATTAGAGGGAATAATATAAACAGAAACCCGGGGTAGGAGGGACCTAGGGTGGAAGGACAGGAGGAGAGACGGACTGGAACTGGATTTCCATGCCTCAGGGGAAAACATTCCCTTTTAGACTCGTTAGCCTGACCCCACCAACAGCAAGTTGCGGCATGCATTTCTGCGTGCAGGCCACTTCCAAAGGTGCCTTCCCTAATTGTCACTTTGGATGCACAGGCTTTCAGGTAATCTTTCACAAGCTGGTATTTTTATGCCTGGGTGGCTCTCTGTCAGTTTTCCTGGTAATATAAATAAGCATAGACCACAACTGATAGGCAACAGGTCCAGGCAGCATTCCAAACCTCTCTCTGGTGTCCAAGATACAGCCCCCTCTCCTACCTTAGGGCTTCTGCATCGTCCCTGCTCTCCACAATTTGTAGCTAAGAAAGGGCCCATCCTGTCCAGTGGCAGAGCTGTCCTTCATGTTCACTGTCTAACTTTCGAAGGCAAATCCAGATGTGTAGGAAATTAGCTAGAAACGGTTGCTGCTGGGAATTGTTCCCCAGTGTGCCTGTGTGTGAGCTGTGTATCCTTCTCAGACAAAAAACAGGTGAAGCCAGCTGCCTTGAGGAGCCCAGAAGAATGTGCCTGGCCTGGCCTGGATGTTTTGTTGGCCAGGCCTGACCCGCCTTATCCAGAACTGCCCCCTCCACGCTTGGCATTCTCAGTTCTGGCTATCTGCTAGGGATCCATAATGCCTGCCTGTTTTGCTATTTAAAACAAACCCTTTGAAAGTAAGGGACCAGAGGAGAGAACTGGAAAGTCAGCATGAGCAGTGGCAGCCTGGGCTCCACAGGGGGCCGGGCCGTTCACCTCTGAGAGGCAGTGCAGCACTCTTTCTTTGATCCCCAGGAGCACTCTGGCATATTGGGGAAGCCCACAGGTGCTGGCGGAAGGTGGCCTGCACTCCAGTGTCTGTCATTTACTGGCCAAAACCCCTGAGCACTTTTCTTTAACATCTGTGATCATGTTTCCTCATCTGTAAAGTAGGGGCAATTGCTGTGAGGATTAAATGAGCTGATACAAAGCACTTCATATGGTACCTGGCAATAGTGAATGTTGGCCCATGATTCCCCCAAATTAGCATGCTTAGCTTTGCTTAGTAAGTGTATTTATAAATGATTTGTAGAAATATTTTAAAGGAATCTTATTCTAGCTTATATCCATGTAAAATGTAATTTAAGAAAGAAATGAAATTCAAAGAATCATTTTTGTAATGTAGGATTTCAAAAAATAAAAACAAAAAAGGACCCTTCCTTCACCCGTCACTTAATTTTGATGCACAGTTGAACTTCAGTCAGCTCTGATCCAGTTACCCATATGGGAATATTTAGGATTGTCTAGTCACGCCTGGGTAATAGAATGTCAAGCCCTGATTTTACAAGCTAATATGTCAAATTCATTTTTTCCTGTTTACATGTAGCTGTCTGATTCATTTGTCCCCGAGGCACGTGATACTTGGCTCCACTCCAATTTTAGACCCTAACAAAAATTAAATATGCTTGTGTTTAGGTGGAATGCAAGATTACAACTACATCTGGGCCCAGTGTTTTGAAATTACGTTGGAGCTGTCATGCTGTAAATATCCTCGTGAGGAGAAGCTTCCATCCTTTTGGAATAATAACAAAGCCTCATTAATTGAATATATAAAGCAGGTGCACCTAGGTTTGTAAAATTTTCTTATTAATTCCCTATTAATACAAAATAGAGCATCTGGCAAGACCTCTGGGTTGACTAAACGCAAGCCTTTATTTATGCTTTGTAGTTATAGCCTCATTTCAGTGCCAGATCTGATGGTTAAGAATTCTCTCTGCATGAGTATCTGCAGTGTGTGAGAAATGCAGTGCCCACTCATTCATAGAAAAGGAAGCATGATGCATGTTCCTTTAATATGAGGGTATAAAAATCCAGAGTACCAGGTGGTCGTGGTGGCTCATGCCTGTAATCCCAGCACTTTGGGAGGCCGAGGCAGGTGTATCACCTGAGGTCAGGAGTTCGAGACCAGCCTGGCCAACAAGGCGAAACCTCATCTCTACTGAAAATACAAAAATTAGCCAGGCGTGGTGGCACACGCCTGTAGTCCCAGTTACTTGGGAGGCTGAGGCAGGAGAATCACTTGAACCCGGGAGGCAGAAGTTGCTCCCTCCGCCAAGGAGCCAAGATGGTGCCAATGTACTCCAGACTGGGTGACAGAGTAAGACTCCATCTCAAAAACAAACAAACAAACAAACAAACATCCAGAGTCCCCCTAATTTTACATGTTGAATGATCTAGAAATCTGGCAAAATATCAGGAAAATAGGCTGCTACTCTGTTACATCATCTCCCATTTAGAAAAATACTATGTTTGCTTGTCACTCACCACGCAGTACCAAGGACCCTGAGAACACTGGACATACCACTTTGCATTTTTTCCAGAATTGGGGTGGTGAGCTAGCACCATTACCTTCAACCCCTCTCACCTCCGAACTCTGCCAGATGTCCTGGTGCTAGAAATCTTGCCAGCCTGTTTGCTGAAGGCTGGCTGGCCCTTATCACAGATAGACAGACTAAATGTGGCAGAGAGTGATAGCTTTCAAACGTGCAGTGGACTCACCGGGAGCGCTTGCTAAAACAGATTGCCAGGCCCCAACCCGGAGTTTCTGTTTGGACCACCTTACCACGTGATGCTGATGCTGCTGGTCCAGCGGCTATACTTAGAAAGCCATTGCACTAGAGAAACACACTGCTAGAGATGATGATGGAATCTTGTACAGTTCAAGTTTATTAACCAGGTGGTGTCTCTTTGGGCAAGGTGTGGAAGGCTCTTCTATATTTACAGAGGTGAAGTTATCTTTCTCCATTCAGAATGGCTTGGGGAGAGAAACATATCAGGAATTGGCATAATAGCTATGATACCACATGGAGAGAGAGAGAGAGAGAGTGTGAGTGTGTGTGTGTGTGGGTGTGTGTGGGTGTTGAAAAGGTTTGCTGCATGGGCCTACTGCATAACTGCATAATTCCCGGAATTTTCTGCATGATTCACAGCAAAGCTTTCCTCCTGCTACAAAGAAGATGGAGAAGGATGAGGGAAGGTAGCACAGGGCCAGAGGGCTGAGTGCAAGGATGATTAGGACCCTTCCTCGGCACACATCCCTAAAAGGGATGCCCCTGCCCTCTTTCATACCTGTATCCCCAGCCTCCATGCCCTGACCTGAAGAGAAGTACACAAAGATTACTGGTAAACTCACAGGGCTATGTCTAACTGGCTGAGTCGTTCATGGACTAGGTTGACTCCCTGTGATAGGGGATGTTATGAAATATCGTTCTTTCTCACCAGCATCTTAATAAAGATTATAAACTTATTATTGGGACTTTCACCTTCTTCATTATGTCATCAAACGTTGTCTTGGGTTCTCTCTTGCTTAGTATTCTGGTAATTCTTTCTCCACTAGATTTTCCTCATGAGGCATGTCATGTATTAGTCTAACATTTCTATTATATTTCTACCTCTATTGATCCTTTAGTTTGTTAATCTATTACTATTATTATCATTATCATCATTTTAGAGACAGGGTCTCACTCTGTCACCCAGGCTGGAGTACAGTGGCACAGTCATTGCCCACTGTACCTTGAACTCCTGGGCTCAAGTGATCCTTCTGCCTCAGTGTCCCAAGTAAGTAGGACTACAGGTGCACAGCACCACATCCAGCTAATTTTTTAAACAATTTTATATAGAGACAGAATCTTGCTATGTTGTCCAGGTGAGTCCCAAACTCCTGGGCTCAAGCGATCCTTCTGCCTCAGCCTCCCAAAGTGCTGGGATCCCAGGTGTGAGCCACCGTGACTGGCTCTGCCTATCCTTTTCTGAAATTCATTCTTCACCAGTATCAACATGGGTATGGGCGTGCAAGTGAACATCAAATATGCTCTGTGTAACTGCACTACTATTTTCAGAACCTCAATCTAGCTGTAAAGATTATTTACCAAGCACTGAATTAAGGTGGGCTTTGAAGTATCATGTTGATGTAATATTGCCAGGGAAAGGGCAATATAAATTGCAGTATACCTATTATTATTTTTAATAATTTGGAAGGCTTACCAGTCCATTTGCACTAGGTTTTGTTTTTTTGTTTTTGAGACGGAGTCTCGCTCTGTCATCTAGGCTGGAGTGCAATGGTGTGATGATCTCGGCTCACTGTAACCTCCGCCTCCCAGGTTCATGTGATTCTCCCACTCAGCCTCCCAATTTGCTGGAATTACAGACACCCACCATCATGCCCGGCTAATTTTGTATTTTTGTAGAGACAGGGTTTCACCATATTGCCCAGGCTGGTCTTGAACTCCTGACCTCAGGTGATCCGCCGGCCTCGGCCTCCCAGAGTGCTGGGATTACAGGCATGAGCCACCATGCCCAGCCCATTTGCATTAGGTTTTATAAAGAATGTGTATCTGCCTGTCTCTATAATCAGATGCAAACAACTCACTCAAAAAATACATATATTGGCACATCAACCCTGCCCCCTTGTGGTTTAAGACAGATGCATAACATGGTTTAATAATGAAACCATATTTCAAAATACCAATACAGTGTGGTTATTACTACTTAATAGAAAGGTTCTCTCCCTACTAGTGCCCAATAAGAAACTAATGAATATTTTGTTTGTGAAGAATGGCAGCAAACACCCCTTTATTGGTATTGCTCTGGTTTAAAGACATTATTGATATTCGTCAAACTGCATTGCATTTACTGGTTCCATTTTACCAATTGCTAGGATGCTTCTGAGTTTCTGAGGTTTTGACCCATCTGGAAGTCTCTGAGCCACCTTGTCTGGGAAGGAAAGGCCTTCTGCTTTAGTGGAAGGGCCTTGCCAAGAGGGTAGAGGCTTAGGTAGAGCCCAAGCTGTTTTGTCATCTGGCGATGTTTGCAATCTTGAGCAAGCACTTGTCTGAATCTCAGTGTAGTCAACAGAAAGTTGAGAGTAATAGCATCAGCCTTGCCTCCCACCAGCCTGTTCTAAGGCTTCAGTGGTGTTATTCCTTCAATTAGAACTCACTGCAGACCTCAACTGAAACTCGGGCCCCTTGGTGCTGTGTTGTCCTGCTTAGAGGATGATTTACTAGGTTCAAGTTGAGATGAGGGTGTCGGCAGACATTAAAACCAAAGTAGCAAAGGAGGGCAAGTCTGAATTCTAGAGGCTTAAAATGTCTTGCTTGTCCCGGTCTCTGAGGAGAAGCAAAGATGAGCCAGACACGGTGTTACCTGCCTGCTGCGGCCCTGTCTTTCCCCTGGACTCCTCAAAGCAGATCTGAACCTAGAGAGCAAGGGAATGGCTCACAGCATCCAGAAACCTAAGCAACCTGGGCATAAAAGAATCTGGTATGTGCTGAGTTCCAGAAGCCTGTGAGCCACAGATGTGGATCTGTTATCACATCCAAAATAGGAGGCAACTGTGACCATGCGGTGGGGACATGGGCACAAACAAGCAGTCTCCTAAGTACTGTCCCAGCTCCGACTCTAAATTGTGGCCAACAGATGCAGAATTCTAGTGCTTGCCCAGCCAAGACTTTTCATTCATGAAGCTCTAATCCATTTCCAAGGGAAAAAGAGCTTTACATTTCTCCCATGTATCTCCCCATCTGGCCACAGAATTTATATCTCAGATTTTATGTCTTCTCATTTGTATTGTATCTGAGCATTTTTCAAATTTTCCTTTTTTTTTTTTTAATATAGTGTTGGCTCTCTCTGCGTCTCTTAGGGTCTACCAGTCTTTTTTTCAATGTTTCAACTTCAGCATATAGAAATAAATCACATTTTCTGGTAAAACAATTACTTCCCTCTTAAGTAAAAGGTTTGGTGGTATGTAGACAAAATATTGTAAAGACATATACAAGCTAAAGCACGCTTTTATTTGGCTGGTGGGAGGGGTTTTCCTTTGAATATAAATTCCATACATAAGCATGGTCTGTGTTTGCCCAGTAACAGTGATATTCGCATACCCCAGGCTTCCATAGCTGGAAGAACCATCTTTAGGTTTAGGTAAGAGTCATATGAAAGTGAGTCTTTGGGCCTGTAATCCCAGCACTTTGGGAGGCCAAGGTGGGCGGATCACTTGAGATCAGGAGTTCGAGACCAGCCTGGCCAACGTGGTGAAACCCATCTCTACTAAAAATACAAAAATTAGCCAGGTGTGGTGGTGGGCACCTGTAATCCCAGCTACTTGGGGTGCTGAGGCAGGAGAATCGCTTGAACCCGGGAGATGAAAGTTGCAGTGAGCCGAACTGGTGCCACTGCACTCCAGCCTGGGCAACAGAGGGAGACTTCAATTTAAAAAAAAAGAAAGTGAATCTTTGGGTTATTAGGGGATGACGAATGAGGGTCAAACTGGAATATGAAGATTTTCAGACATTTCTTCAAATGCAAATTGTTCTTCCTTTTTCTATCTTTGAGGGTAGGCAGACCGCAGGTTGACTGGAGCCTTGATTCAGCTGCAGCACACACTGATACGTAGGTGTTGTTCAAGTCCCTGAGGCCATCCAAAATCACTGTCATGTGACTGTCAAAAAAGTCAAATCTGTTCTATTAAAGTGTAACTGCTTCTAGCCAAGAAGAAATTTGCTGCCTTTTTTTAAAGGGTACCATGACTTTTTTTTTTTTTTTTTTTTTTTTTTGGTGTCTTCTGCCAACTACTCATTACTAGTACCCTGAATTCTATTTCATCATTATCTCCAATGTTAAAGAATGGTGTAATGTTAGCCGGGCGCGATGGCTCACGCCTGTAATCCCAGCACTTTGGGAGGCTGAGGCGGGCGGATCATTTGAGGTCAGGAGTTCAAGACCAGCCTGACCAACATGGAGAAACCCTGTCTCTACTAAAAATACAAAATAAGATGGGCGTGATGGTGCGTGCCTGTAATCCCAGCTACTTAGGAGGCTGAGGCAGGAGATTGCTTGAACCCGGGAGGCAGAGGTTGCAGTGAGCTGAGATCGCGCCATTGCAGCCTGGGCAACAACAGCAAAATTCCATCTCAAAAAAAAAAACAAAAAATTGTGTAATGTCAGTTTCAATGATAGCTCTGCTTCATTTTTTATGCACTTGATTTTCTTCGATTTGGTTGGTTTTGGGGAAGTCAACAAAAAATACAAAAGATGCCAACAGACACAACACCATCCAGCACAAGTTACCTTGCTGAAACGCATGGATTTTCTAAGTGGCATGAAGACTGTAAACTAGCTCAGAGCCCTGGAAAAGGAAATAATATGCATAGCTTCTTCCCTCACATATTCCTGCTTTGTGGAACAAAGTTGAATTAAGACTCCAGAAATTCATCTAATATATTCTCCCCCCGCCACACCACATAGTTTTTCTTAATCCAAATAAGAGGAAAGGAAAGAAAGCCAGGCCTGGTGGCTCACACCTATAATCCCTGCACTCCAGCACTTTGGGAGGCCAAGGTAGATCATGTGAGCTCAGGAGTTCAAGACTAGCCTGTGCAACATGGCGAAACCCCACCTCTACAAAAAAATACAAAAATTAGCCAGGTGTGGTGGTGTGTGCCTGTAGTCCCACCTACTTGGGAGGCTGAGGTGGGAGGACTGCTTGAGCATGGGAAGTCAAGGCTGCAGTAAGCCCTGATCACACCACTGCACTCCAGCCTGGGTGACAGAGCAAGACCCTGTCTAAAAAAAAAAAAAGAAGAAGAAAGGAAAGCAAGAATTAATGTTTGTTGATCCTCCTGTTCTGTGTTACTTACATTTAATCTTCACAACCATCCTGGGTGGTGGTATATTATCCCCATTTCATAGGTGATAAAATTGAGGCTTGGGAATGTTCAGTGACTTGAGAACTAGAATTCAAATCAAAACCTGACTAGGTTCTTTCTGTCACACCAAGCTATGATGATGGGTACACGCTATATTTATCACATATCAAAGGACCTCCTAAGGGGGGCACAGTGTAAATAGCTCTTCAAAATAATGCCATTGAAGCTGAGTGTGGTGCCTCACACCTGTAATCCCAGCACTTTGGGAAGCTTAGGCAGGTGGATTGCTTGAGCCCAGGAGTTCAAGACAAGCCTGGGCAACATGGTGAAACCCCATCTCTACAAAAAGTTAATTAATTAATTAAATAAAACAAAATAATGCCACTGAAACCCAAGGAATAAATGCGTAATCAGGTTACCAAATTATTACCAATTTATGATTGGGTACTACCTAAACATCAAAAGGATATGTATCAAGCAGTAGGAATAAATATAAATGGAACTGTGTTTAAAAAAGAGAGGGCAAAGAGGAACACACGAAGTGAAAATAGAAGTTTACACAGTTGTATAGAGAAAGGGAGAAGGAAATGTGGCATTTTCCTCCTCAGGAGACAAAAAATGAAGAGTCAGGAACTAAATAGGACAGAAAGTATAATAAAAGGCAACCTAGGTCAGATAGAAGTTTGTTGAAGTTCAAGATAAACATTGTTTTGCTAAATGCCAAAATTTTTATTTTTCACTTTAACCGTTTCTGGGGGAAACTGTTACGTGTGCCTCGTATTTTTCTGCCCTAATAAATAATTATTGAGCATAACTGTTTGGGGAGAGTTCAAGATCATCTTACTATTGTAGCTCTTCATTCTCATTTATGTTATTGGGGACTTAGGCAGCTTCACCTTAAGGTAATATGATTTGACGCTGGAGTAAACAAACTAGATGTGACACGTAGGATCTAAAATAAGAAAGGTCTTAAAATATAAATGGCTTTTTAAAAATTGTACTCCTGAAATTTTGAGAGGGGCTGTCGAGACTATCATGGGTTGACGGCTAGGCTGGGCCACTTCGTTGGCTGTGTGAGTTTGAGGAGGTTATTTTAATAAGCCAGAGCCTTAGTTTTTTTCATCTGTAAAATCATGATAATAATTGATGACACAGAGCTGATATGAGAATTTAATGAGAAAATGCTCATTTGGTAGTTAGTACAGAGCCTGGAATATACTAAGTGCTCAATAAATATTGGCTGCTGTTACTGGCCAATCGATTCCATGCTTCCAAGAAGCCTTGTGATTATAATTTTGCTTCCCATGTAGTTGCACTACAAGACAAAACTATTGAGTCCCTCGCACACGTAAATATTTTGTTGTAACTAATACATTGACACCGTTTTTATTTAGGATTTTATGGAATCCACCAATGGTTGTAGTACAGTTTGGTGACTGAGTAAATAACTTGGAAGTGACAGGAATGGATCTTAGGTTGTCATCTGTGTTCTCTCACTGTGATAATACGTACTAATATAAATGGGCTATTCAACAACGAACAAATTTAAGCTATAAATCAGATTAGTAATTTTGACTGTATTTTAAGTTACATCAAAAATAAGTTTTTTCCCTCTCTAACACTTAATATTAACTCACAACATTGAGTTAGCTAATAAATATTGCATATATTGTTCTTAAATATTTATAATAATTTTTATATGCCATAAAATATGGTATTAATATTTAATTTTATTTTTGTCTTGCAGGTGTAAAGGGTCAAGTTTTTGATCAGAATGGAAATCCATTACCCAATGTAATTGTGGAAGTCCAAGACAGAAAACATATCTGCCCCTATAGAACCAACAAATATGGAGAGTATTATCTCCTTCTCTTGCCTGGGTCTTATATAATAAATGTAAGTATGCAATGCTAGTTATTGTTATTAAAATATTATAGAACTCATAATACTTATTCACCCAGAAGGAATCCAAAATAAGTCTAGGAAGTTCAAAAGTAGATCCATCGAGACAGAAAGAAAGGATAGTGTCAGACTTGCAATTGGCAGGAGGTGGAAGAGGTGGAAATTATATGAAAAAAAAAAAAACCACAAAAATTCATATTTTTTCCCTGATGGCAATTTTTAAAAAATGGAAGCCAAATCCTATCTCTTGTGATATCTTTTATGATTAAAATGTAACCCGATTAATAATAAAGAATAAGCAATGTAGCAAAGGTAGTTTATAGTTTCCCAGGATACGACACAACACCCATTCCACGGCATACACTTTCTACTATAAAAAATGAATTGGATAAAGTTCCTTAGAATTCATTTTATAAGTGAAATCTGATCCACAAATTTTAACACTATATTCAGCAAATGATAAACATATTTTGCAGCCCTTTTTTCATCGATGCAAGTAAAATTTCAGTCTTTAATTCCATAAAATATATATTTCTGAGTCATTTTATCCGAAGACAGGAAGGCATGGACTAATTTGAGCCTGAGTGGATTTATGTGAAAGAACTAAATGAATAAGTATTGATATAGTTGGCCAGATTTTGCCTCTTTCTCTTTGATGTGAATTTCTCTGAGAAATTCAGGATTCTTCTATTTTGCTTAGTGGGGCTTATGCCAACCATAGCAGTCATTCTATATAGAGCTAATCCTGGGAGAAGGTAGTCATCTCTTCTGTAGTGAAAACTGAGTTGGTATTTTATTATTTCATCTTGAGGACATCATGGAAAAAACATGGTTTTTAGTTTATAAAACTATAGAATTCAGAGCCTCCATGCTCCATGGGTTCTCCCCAAGGTGCCTAGATGTGAGGCTTATCAATTGCTAATCCTTTTAGGAATTTCTACTCCTGCCGAGAAAATGGATAGAGCTTGAAAAATCTCAACTCACTGTGAATCTTTGTCTAAAAAGGCCCTTTATTTTCCTCCTATTTACTGTGATATTTCTATTCTATTTAAAAATATGATTTTCCCTGTAGTGAATCTAAACTTATATGCAACCTCATAAATAAGCCACACCTTTAGAATAAAGTTATGAATTGTTCATTTCCCATTAGTTAGACTAACACAGTACACATTGACCCTAGATATTAGTTCTAGGATAATATTTGAAGGTAAGACTCTGGACATTGAAATGAATGTGTAAAATACATACCAATGAGTGGTTATGTAAATGTCATTCCCCATTTTTTCCCTTCTCCACCATATATAATAAAAGCATTTCTCAGTAGACATTGCCTGTAGTTAGTTTAGCATTTGTCTTGTCCTGATCATTTCCTCCACTAAAAAAAAAAAGAAAGCCTAACCAAAGATTCAGGCTGATATGAACAAAACCAGGTAAAATCAAAGCTTTTAAAGGAGGGTGGATGTGGTGGCTCATGACTGTAATCTCAGCACTTTGGGAGGCTGAGAGGCAGGTGGATCACTTGAGGTCAGGAGTTCAAGACCAGCCTGGCCAATGTGGTGAAACCCTGTCTCTACTAAAAATACAAAAAATTACCTGGGCATGGTGGTATGCACCTGTAATCCCAGCTACTTGGGAGGCTGAGGTAGGAGAATCGCTTGAACCCGGGAGGCGGAGGTTGCAATGAGCCAAGATTGAGCCACTGTACTCCAGGCTGGGTGACAGAGCAAGACTCTATCTCAAAAAAAAAAAAAGAAAAAAGAAAAGAAAGAAAGAAAAGCTTTTAAAAGAAGCAATAGGCTTGTAGGTCAGCTGAAAAGAAATTAGTAAGTTGAGAAAATAATTCTACTTGAAAATAATCTTGATATCCAAGGAGGATGTTAAATACACACTTGGGACAAAGGGAAAGAGTTATCTCTTTACCCTTCTGCCCCACGAAAAGGATGGTGGCAGAAACATCTGCTGCTTCCTTCTCTTGACTTACATTGCCAGATGAGGTACCCATCTGTCCTTATTTCATTTTGTAATTCTTGGCAACAGCATTCACAACGCTGGTCTCTGTCAACAGGCATTGGATAACTCAGCCTGCAGGACCAAATCTGTTGCTGGCCCAGAGGTCTGGTAGATTGTTACATGCATTGCACAAAGGCTGCATTTTAGTGATGGATATCAGTGTTTTCAGTGTGGGCACCACGAACCATCTTAAGTCACTCATATAATTGTCTCTTGTTTCTTCTCAGGTTACAGTCCCTGGACATGATCCACACATCACAAAGGTGATTATTCCGGAGAAATCCCAGAACTTCAGTGCTCTTAAAAAGGATATTCTACTTCCATTCCAAGGGCAATTGGATTCTATCCCAGTATCAAATCCTTCATGCCCAATGATTCCTCTATACAGAAATTTGCCAGACCACTCAGCTGCAACAAAGCCTAGTTTGTTCTTATTTTTAGTGAGTCTTTTGCACATATTCTTCAAATAAAGTAAAATGTGAAACTCAACCCACATCACCACCTGGAATCAGGGATTGCTCACTCCAGGTTACTGCAACCCTAACTCACTCTAGTGGGACCTTGACTGGAGAAACTCCACGATCTTCCTGAAGAAGAGAAATGGATGTTTCCAAATTCCACAATAAGCAATATGTGGTGATAATGAAAAGAATGATTCAGTCTTGACGGTGAATGGAAGACACTTACCTAACAAGTACTGCTCATTTACACTCAAATTAATCTTGAAGTAGTCTTAAAATGTGTAAGAAGTTAAAACTTGAGAAGCAAAAAAATGCCTGCAAAAAGAAGATCATTTTGTATACAGAGAACCGGATGAATATAAGCAATGAAGATGAACATTTATTGATCTTCTACATACAAGACTTCACCATAAGGCCAGGAGCAGTGGCTCACACCTTGTAATCCCAGCACTTTGGGAGGCCAAGGTGGGCGGATCACCCTGAGGTTAGGAGTTCAAAACCAGCCTGACCAACATGGTGAAACCCTGTCTCTACTAAATATTAGCGGGGTGTGGTGGCGGGCACCTGTAATCGCAGCCTTTCAGGAGGCTGAGACAGGAGAATCGCTTGAACCCTAGAGGCGGAGTTTGCAGTGAGCCGAGATAGTGCCATTGTACTCCAGCTTGGGCAACAGAGTAAGACTCTGTCTCAAAAAAAAAAAAACAAAAACAAACAAACAAAAAAAACACCTCACCATGAGTGCTACATGTGAATAGATATTAAGTGCCATATATAATTAGTTCTCAGAAGAAGGGAGAAATGATCATAGGACTGGGAATTGTTTTGCAAACGTTCTAGGAGATGTGAGAGAAAATATGTAACCACATCTTAGTGGCCCAAGAAAATACAGGCCTGAAGGGATAAGATTGTGTCTCTATAGAGCTTCAAAGCATACAGGTCAATTAAGAAAGCCCCTCTCTCTCCAGAGCCGTTTCCCTAGCTTTTGGCACCTGGATGCCACAGTCCTCCATTAGGCTGATGACTCCAAAGATGTAACTCTAGCCTCTTGCCTGAGCTTCAGACTCGCGTCCCACTGCCCACAGGACACATCCACCTGGATGTGACTCACAGGTACCTCCAACCCATCATGTGGAGATACTCATCCTGTTCCCCCTAGAGCTGCTCTTCCTGCTGCATTCTCTCTCTCAATTACTGGGACCACCAAGCTAGGAACCTGGGAGTCATCCTTGATACTTTCTCTTCCTCCTTAATCCTGTGTATTCAGCAAGTAACTAAAGGTTGGTGTTGGCCAGGCATGGTGGCTCATGCCTGTAATCCCAGCATTTTGGGAGGCCAAGGCGGGCGGATCACTTGAGGTCAGGAGCTCAAGACCAGCCTGGCCAACATGGTGAAACCCCATCTCTACTAAAAAAAAAAAAAAAATTAGTCGGGCGTGGTGGTGCATGCCTGTAATCCCAGCTACTGGGGAGGCTGAGGCAGGAGAATCGCTTGAACCTGGGAGGCAGAGGTTGCAGTGAGCCGGGATTGCGCCATTGTACTCCAGCCTGGGTGAAGAAGTGAGACTCTGTCTTAAAAAAAAAAATTGGTGCTGATAAATATTGATGAATTCTGCTCTCTGCTCTCTATGGTTGTCAACACTGCAGAGTTGAGGCCTCATATCTCACCTGCACTGCTGCAACAGCTTACTGGTCCCTTGCTCCCAGCCTTCTCCTCTTCAGTCCATCGTCCACACAGCACTGGGGAAGGGGAGCCACTTGAAACAAAAGTCAACAACTGGTTGTAGTTCATAAACACAGAGCTGTTTGTGTCCCCTGTATCTGGAATGCCATTATGACCCACTACATTTTTTCTTTCCTACCCCTCTTAAAACTCAGTTCAGGTAGCAGCTCCACTAGGAAGCCTTGGCTGACCATAATCCCATTCAATTCCATTTCACCTCTTCGCAGGCAGTCTGGGGTTAGGGACCCTTTCTCTTTGCTCCCCAAAATAAACTGGTTATCTCTACTATTGGATTTACAACATTGTATTATAATCTTCTCCATGTGTGCCTTCTCTAGTAGAATGTGAGCTCTTTGAGGCCAAGGTCTATTTAATTTGTTTGAAAAATTCATTGTTATATCCTCAAAGCCTAGCACATAGTAGGTACTGAATGAATGAATGAACAAGGGGTGCCAGGAGACTGCTACTCCCAGTCCTTCCCAGAAACTGCCTAGGGCTTTGAGTCATTTTATGAAGCTAGGTCTTAATGCGTAGGCAACCTCCCAGCTCACTATGAACGCTGACAGAAGAGTGTTTTCATGTCTATAATCAAGAATTCCAGATACATTCCTTTTACTGAACCTTGAATTGATCCTAAGATTGGTAGTAAAGGTATTATGTTACCTCCTAACAGCACTACAAAGTACCTTTTTTTATCAGAAAAAAATTTTACCATTAGGACTCAATTTGAAGTACTAATGCTTCTCAAGTTCTCCACTATGAGAGTTACCCTGTATTAGACCGTTACCTATAAGAATTAAGGGGTAAAGCACTAAACAGAAAAGAAAAAAAAAATAGCAACTCTGGTGAGCAGATTTCTTTCCTTTCTTCCTTCCTTCTCCTCTTCCTACCTTCCTCCCTCCTTTCCCTCTCCTCCCCTTCTCTCCCTTTCCCTCCCCTTCCCTTCCTTTTCTTCTTTCCTCCGCTCCCCTCCCCTTCCCTCCCCTTCCCATCCTTCTTTCTCTTTTTTTTACTTAATCCCCAGTGTGACAGTAATATAGGCTGATTTCTAGAAGTGTGGTGTATTACTCATGGAAAGTGAGTTGCCTTGGTTATTACTTTCAATTGAAAGTTCTATGGGATCTAGAAATGAGACATACTGGCATGGAGAGTGAGAACGACAAAGGAATGAAGAGCTACAGGAGCATTTAGGCCATTTCTATGCCAAGCTTATTCTACATGCACAAAATCATACATGTTAATAAATATAAACAAATTGGAGGCTTATTTAAACCAATTATGAAATCTGGTAATTTGTGCAGCAGCAATAGATGATAACCAAAAAAAACTCATAATAATCTGAATATCTTGATCATTTGTATTTAAAGAAGCAGTAATTATATACTTGAAAGTACATAATATAGTATTGCAAAAATGACTTTGGTATATTACAAATTAAAAGTATATAAGATGAAACTTGATTTGCTATCAAGCCCCAAGCAATTTTTCAACTGGGCATTGAATTCTAACTTTTCTAAGATAGCAATTTTTGAAGAGACACGAACAAAAATCTGAATTAGTTCATGAGCCTTAATGTAAATCTCTTGCTGAAATAGTTTTTAAAATCAGAATTTAGTTATCTATCAGACTCAAAATCATTTAAAGACTAACAAAACACAATCATGATATTCTAACTGTGGTCAAACCAGGTACCCAAGCCACCTCCCTGCCCAACGCCTTTCCGGCTTTTCCCCTCCCTCTTGGGCTGGTGGTTATGCTCCTCCAGCTCTAGTTCAGCTATAATTCCTTTTATAGAGAAACCAACCTGATACACACTTTCATGATGGGAGAAAAATGTGGGAGTGAAATGGTATTTAGAAAGCAGCAGTCAGGCACGGTGGCTCATGCCTGTAATCCCAGCACTTTGGGAGGCTGAGGCAGGCGGATCACTTGAGGTCAGGAGCTCGAGACCAGCCTGGCCAACACGGTGAAACCCCATCTCTACTAAAAAAAAATACAAAAATTAGCCGGGCGTGGTGGCAGGCACCTGTAATCCCAGCTACTTGGGAGGCTGAGGCAGGAGAAATCGCCTGAACCCAGAAGGCAGAGGTTGCAGTGAGCCAAGATCACATCACTGCACTGCACTCCAGCCGGGGTGACAGAGCGAACCTCTGTCTCAAAAAAAAAAAAAGAAAAAAGAAAGAAAGAAAAAAGGCAGAAGCCCTGGATTCAAATCCGCCACACATTCAGTTTCTTTATCTGTAAAATGGAGACCACCCCCCGCCACGCTGAACGGTGATTCTGTGACTGGTAAGAGATGCTACATTTTTGGTGCTTGTTCAGGTGGAGGAAAGATGATAGTTAACACTCAGGTAATAAGTATTTTGAAGGCAGTATAATATACCTTCTTAAAGAGTATACCTACTCAAATGTTGGTAAATGTTGACATGATTGAATCTAAATGGCAAAGAGTATTTTAGAAAAACATTAAGTCCCTGCAGATAAATGACAGTGTTGATTTGGATGCTTAATTACATTCAGACATGAACTGTTGGATGTATCTGAAATGTTAAAAGCTTTTTCTCAACATTTCCAAAAGTCTTTCCAAGAAATCAATGTTATGTTTTGTTCCAGAAGCAAATTTGCATTTGTGATCTGTTTCTAAAAATGGTACAAGTTAGCTCTGTTTAGAAAGTAAAAATATCTGATGTTAGATTGGAAGTATCTCTTCCTGGGGAATCCAGAAAGATAAGCATAGCATATTGTCTTACTGCAATAGATAAGTTGCTTATTGAGAAGTCTGGTTGTTATTCTATATGGTAACAATACAGTTGATGTATATTTTATGATAGATCCTTTATATTTTCCTCATGACTTTAGAAGGGGGAAGGGGGAGAAAATTATGATGACCAGACTAGTTAAAGAGCATTGAAAGTCCACAGTACTGTAGCTAAAGTAGAAGTTTGGGTTTGTTATAGACTTTACATTATATCAACTAATAAGCAGATACTGTACAGTATTGCTCACCATTTTATCATACTTTTGCATATGAACTACTCCATTGCCTTTTATAGATGTTTTATAGCTGATCTTACCAGTTTTCCTGGTAACTTTTTTTATTTCTTTTTTTTTTTTTTGAGACGGAGTCTCGCCCTAACACCCAGGTTGGAGTGCAGTGCCGTGATCTCGGCTCACTGCAACCTCTGCCTCCCGGGTTCAAGCAATTCTCCTGTCTCAGCCTCCCGAGTACCTGGGACTACCGGTGCCTGTCTCCACGCCCGGCTAATTTTTTGTATTTGTAGTAGAGACGGGGTTTCACCGTGTTAGCCAGGATGGTCTCGATCTCCTGACCTCATGATCTGCCTGCCTCTGCCTGGACCTCCCAAAGTGCTGGGATTACAGGCGTGAGCCCCCGCGCCCAGCCACTTTCTTTAATACTATAACTAAGAATTTATTAAAATGCACAAATTGTCTAAGACTGTAAAGTTTATTGGGGAGAGGCCATGACTACCTCTGAATTTAGTAAATTTAAAATATTTCTGATTCTCAATAAAGAACTAATATCCATATAAATAATGCTTTTTTCCCATTATGTTACCTGAAAATAAGTACTTATGCAAGTATAACAAAGTCCACTAAAAATAACTGATTACCACCAAATAAAGCTTGGGAAAGACCAAACTTAATGACCTTTTATGAGGCAATAACATTGCAACAACTCTTCAAAGTCCAGATAGTTCTTCCAGAACAAGTTACATATGCTATATGTTATATATATTATATATAATACATTCCAAATTAATTTGTGTTGTGGGGCAGTGTGTTCCATGGACAAGATGATGGATGGAAAGTATGCCTTCTGGTCAGAAAAAATATTTGAAAATTCACAATTTATATTAATGTAATAAAGAATCTGAGAAATGCAGAAAAGAAATGGATTTCCCAAACATGCTAAGCTATGGGACCATTTCCTTAAATAATACAGCCTCGTACCATCCCTTTGGATTAACATACCTATATTTCCAAACACATTTTGGGAAATACTGATATATAGAGAAGGCTTTTGTTCTGAATAACAAATTTTATTGATTTCCAGGTGCTTTTGAAATACAGAGAACAGTGGTAAACAAAGAATTTGCCTCCAGTAGGAACTGGAAAACTAACAGTCCTAACCCCTGCTAATATCGACTTAGTCATAGGACAGAGGATGGGCTCAAGCTTACATCTGCTCTTTGAAACACGCTAAACAAATAATAGTTTAAATGAGACATTGCTGAGTAGGAAATGGCTAAATTACAGGTACCAATTTTTAAAAAGTGACGTCTCAATTTAGAAAATAAACAGGAAATAGTTTCTCTGTTTTCAAGAGAATTTCATTACATAGAAGCCTCTTAAGCAGAAGTTCCCTGGTATATTTACCTAGACTTCAACGTTTAAATTTGCAGCTTTTTTTTTTTTTTTTGGGACGAAGTCTCGCTCTGTCACCCAGGCTGGAGTGCAGTGGTGGGATCTCGGCTCACTGCAACCTCCACCTCCCAGGTTCAAGTAATTCTCATGCCTCAGCCTCTCGAGCAGCTGGAATTAACAGGCACATGCCATGACGCCTGGCTAATTTTTGTATTTTTAGTTAAGACAGGGTTGCACCATGTTGCCCAGGTTGGTCTTGAATTCCTGGCCTCAAGTGATCCACCCACCTCAGCCTCCCAAAGTGCTGGGATTACAGGGGTGAGCCATCACCCCCCAGCCAAGGGTTTTTTGTTTGCTGTTTGACAACTGAGAATAGAACTATTATTTCTCTGCTCTCTTGGAGTGGTCTCTCAGCGCTGTTAAGAGTCTACCAAGCGTAGTGACTCACATCTGTAATCCCAGCACTTTGGGAGGCCGAGGCGACTGGATCACCTGAGGTCAGGAGTTCGAGACTAGCCTGGCTAACATAGCAAAACCCCATCTCTACTGAAAATACAAAAATTTGCCAGGCATGGTGGCTCATGTCTGTAATCCCAGCACTTTGGGAGGCCGAGGCAGGCAGATCACGAGGTCAGGAGTTCAAGGCTAGCATGGTGGCTCATGTCTGTAATCCCAGCACTTTGGGAGGCCGAGGCAGGCAGATCACAAGGTCAGGAGTTCAAGGCTAGCATGGTGAAACCCCGTCTCTACTAAAAATACAAAAAATTAGCCATGCATGGTGGCATGCGCCTGTAATTCCAACTACTGGGAGGCTGAGGCAGGAGAATCATTTGACCTTGGGAGGCAGAGTTTGCAGTGAGCTGAGATAGTGCCACTGCACTCCAACCTGGAGTGAGAGACTGTCTCAAAACAAACAAACGAACAAACAACAACAACAACAAAAAAAAAAACGGCCAGGCGCAGTGGCTCACACCTGTAATCCCAGCACTTTGGGAGGCCAAAGCAGGTGGGTCACCTGAGGTCAGGAGTTCGAGACCAGCCTGGCCAACATGGTGAAACCCCGTCTCTACTGAAAATACAAAAACTAGCCAGGTGTGGTGGTGGACCCCTGTAATCCTAGCTACTCTAGAGGCTGAGGCAGGAGAATCACTTGAACCTGGGGGGCAGAGGTTGCAGTGAGCCGAGATCGCGCCACTTCAGTCTAGTCTGGGCGACAGTGAAACTCCATCTCAAAAAAAAAAAAAAAAGGGTCTACCGTTAGTGGACACCTTTAGTCTTCCAACGAGATACTTCCACCTCCCACCTTGTGGTTAAAAAATGCTTAACTTTGGGCTGGGTGCGGTGGCTCATGCCTGTAATCCCAACACTTTGGGAGGCAGAGGCAGGCGGATCATGAGGTCAGGAGTTCGAGACCAGCCTGGCCAATATAGTGAAACCCTGCCTCTATTAAAAATACAAAAATTAGCTGGGCATGGTGGCAGGCGCCTGAATTTCCAGCTACTCGGGAGGCTGAGGCAGGAGAATTGCTTGAACCCAGGAGGCAGAGGTTGCAGTGAGCCGAGATCATGCCACTACACTCCAGCCTGGGTGACAGAACGAGACTTCGTCCCCCCCAAAAAAACAAAAAGCTTAACTTTGAAGAGATTTGGTCTTCTCAGATGCCTCCTATAAAAAGAAACAAATGTGAGAAAAGGTAGAAAAGGCCTTTTTTGTAGGGAGCAATTTTTTCTAAAAAGGCTTTTCAGCCAAGACCCTCTCTCTTACAATTCTGACACCATATCAACTTTTAAGACTACTTTTTTCTTAGAATGCTTCTTTTTTGCCATTTATTGCACAAACAATAATTTGGGGGGGGACTTTAAAAAATCATAATCAGGCCAGGCACAGTGGCTCAATGCCTGTAATCCCAGCACTTTGGGAGGCCGAGGCAGGTGGACCACATGAGGTCAGGAATTCGAGACCAGCCTGGCCAACATGGCAAAACCCCATCTCCACTAAAAATGAAAAAATTAGCTGAAATAACACAGCTACTTGGGAGGCTAAAGCAGGAGAATCACTTGAACCCAGGAGGTGGAGGCTGCAGTGAGCCAAGATCACGCCATTGCACTCCACCCTGGGCAACAGAGCAAGACGCCATCTCAAAAAAACAAACAAAAAATCACAATCAGTGAGATTAATGTTTAATGAACATACTGTTATTTTTTATTTTTTTAAGAGACAAGTCTCCATCTGTCTCCTAAGCAGAGTGTAGTGGCGCAATCATAGCTCATTGTAACATTGGACTCCTGGGCTCAAGTGATCCTCCCACCTCAGTCTCCCATGCATGCCACCACAATTTTTTGGATACAGGGTGTCATTATGTTGCCCAGGCTGATCTCAAACTCCTGGCCTCAAGTGATCCTCCTTCCTTGGCCTCCCAAAGTGTTGAGATTACAGGCGTGAGTCACAGAGCCTGGCCCAGGATGTTATTTTAAAATTGTCTTTTTGTCTTCTAAATCAACAAGAACTTGATAGTTGCTTTCAATGCCAATCAACATCCTTTACTACTGTATACACAATGTATTTATTTGACATTTGAAAGGAGATACGGCTGGGCGCGGTGGCTCACGCCTGTAATCCCAGCACTTTGGGAGGCCGAGGCGGGCGGATCACAAGGTCAGGAGATCGAGACCATCTTGGCTAACACGGTGAAACCCCGTCTCTACTAAAAATACAAAAAATTAGCCAGGCGCGGTGGCGGGCGCCTGTAGTCCCAGCTACTCGGGAGGCTGAGGCAGGAGAATGGCGTGAACCTGGGAGGCGGAGCTTGCAGTGAGCCGAGATTGCGCCACTGCAATCCGGCCTGGGCTAAACAGCGGGACTCCGTCTCAAAAAAAAAAAAAAAAAAAGAAAGGAGATACAAAAGGATGTTACAACCTGCTATGGCAAGAAGATACAAAGGAACATATTGGTATGAACAGAATACCTCAGAGTTGAGTGTATAAAAAAGGCTTAATTCACCAGATGCAGTGGCTCGCACCTGTAATCCCAGCATTTTGAGAGGTCAAGGTCAAGACACGAGGATTGCTTGAGCCCAGGAGTTCAAGGCCAGCCTGGGCAACATAGCAGGACTCTGCCTCTAAAAAAAGTATATATATATATATAATGTACACACACATACATACATAAACACATATGTATTATATATATATATGTAATATATGTATATTATATATAATATATATATTAGCCAGGCATGGTGGCAACAGGCCTGTGTTCCCAGCTACTCAGGAGGCTGCAGTGAGTCATGTTTGCGCCACTATACTCCAGCCTGGGTGACAGAATGAGACCCTGTCTCAGCAAAAAACAAATAAAAAACTTCAAGGTGGAGTAGGGGTTAATTCAAGGCTACCTAAGCTGGATTTGGGGTGATTATGGTCGAGTGGATGCAAACAGAATATTAAACTTCCATTCATTAAAAGTGCTTACTACCTGCCAGACCCCATACTAGGCTCTATAGATTTATTGTCTCTAAGGTCACTAGGCGAGTAAGTACCAGATCTGTGACTTTGAACTTCCCACTACAATAAGCTTATGAACTTTGTTTAAGCAAAAAAGGTTTGAAAAGTGAAAAGCAAGCACCCATTTCATAGTGTTCTAAAAGTCTAAAATAATCCAGTAGAACATCAGAGATAAAATCCAAAAAGCAAGTTTTTCCCCCAATATTTAAATCAGGGAAGCAACATGATGGTATCTGTAAACTATAACTGAACCAAAAATAGGACCAAACGTAGTGAAATCCATTTAGGGAGATATTACTGTGATCTTGAAGGAAGGCCTACTTAATACAGGACAGTGGGCTGGGGAGGTGTGAACCAAAAATAGACACAGGCAAAAGCGCTAAAATTTAACCCTGAGAAATAAATGAAATTCACCTACAAAATAAATGGAATAAATTTAAAAGGTGAAATTTTGGGCTTGGCGTGGTGGCTTACACCTGTAATCTCAGCACTTTGGGAAGCCAAGACGGGCAGATCACTTGACCCCAGGAGTTTGAGACCAGCCTGGGCAACATGGTGAAACTGTCTCTACAAAAAATACAAAAATTAGGCCGGGCACGGTGGCTCACGCCTGTAATCCCAGTACTTTGGGAGGCCGAGGTGGGCGGATCATGAGGTCAGGAGTTCGAGACCAGCCTGGACAACATGCTGAAACCCCATCTCTACTAAAAATACAAAAAAAATTAGCCAGGTGTGGTTGGCGAGCACCTATAATTCCAGCTACTCAGGAGGCTGAGGCAGAATTGCTTGAACCTGGGAGGTGGAGGTTGCAATGAGCCGAGATTGCACCACTGCACTCCAGTCTGGGTGAAAGAGCAAGACTCTGTCTCAGGGCGGGTGGCAGCGGGGTCGGGGGAGGTGGGGGGAAGGTTAGCTGGACCTGGTGGCTTGCACCTGTGGTCCCCAGCTACTTGGGAGGCTGAGGTGGGAGGATTGCTTGAGCCCAGGAGGTTGAGGCTGTAGTGAGTCATGTTTGCAGCACTGCATTCCAGCCTGGGCGACAGAGCAAGACCGCATCTCAAAACAAAACAAACAAAAGGTGAAATTTTGGAATTAGGAAAGATGCTATTTTTATAAATTGGCTTTAAGCTGTTGGCTGGACATCTAAGTTGTAGCATTCTGAAGGCAGCAGAGATGTGGGATTGTAGGACTGAAACATGAAAATGCCTATCGAATTTTTTTTAAAGTCTTTAAAGGAGAGCTTTAAAGGAAAGCAATACGAATTCAAGTATGTTTCAGTACCACTCCTCTCTCTAAAGACAATCAACTATGGTTTTCATTCAAAATACTATTACTCTAACGTTAAATATTTGAGTACAGCAATCATTTCAGATGCATTATGAATAAGTTACTGAACACGCCTCCCATCTGCTTGCTTTACGGTTTTATTTTGCCTTTCGTTTGTTAGCTCATTTTATAATTTGTTACTTCTGAACACCTTCCAAGTGCTGGTGCTTTCAGATATCTACCTCAAAGTATTATTTGTAAATGTCAAAAAGTCCCTCTTACATATAATTGAAAGCTGGCTACATGGTAGACAATATGATCACAAACTTTTAAACAATTTTTTAAGCTGAAGAAATACTTTTTCTTTTTATAAGTATCAAATCAAAATGTAATTCAGCATCCACCCATAAAGCGCAACTAAAAACTTTTCACAATGCCATTAACAACTTGTGGTTACCATCATAAGCCTACAGACCTACACACTAATTATCTTTAAAACCCTTATTAGGCTGGGCGTGGCGGCTCACGCCTGTAATCACAGCACTTTGGGGGGCCAAGGCGGGCAGATCACTTGAGGTCAGGAGTTTGAGCCCAGC
Source organism: Homo sapiens (assembly GCF_000001405.40). Taxonomy (NCBI): domain Eukaryota; kingdom Metazoa; phylum Chordata; class Mammalia; order Primates; family Hominidae; genus Homo; species Homo sapiens. The sequence goes on along the minus strand of NC_000012.12, from coordinate 68,844,978 downwards.
CTGGCCAACATAGTGAAACTTCATCTCTGCTAGAAATACAAAAATTAGCGGGGCGTGGTGACAGGGTGCTCTAACCCCAGCTACTTGGGAGGCTGAAGCAGAACCACTTGAACACAGCCAGGAGGCAGAGGTTGCAGTGAGCCAAGATTGCACCACTGTACTCCAGCCTGAGCCACAGAGCAAGACTCCGTCTCAAAAAATAAATAAAAATAAAATAAAACCCTTATTAAGGATTTAAAAAATCTTAATTATATAATGCCAAAAGCTAGTCCCCGTCTGGCTTAGGGGCCCACAAGCTCCTGCTTTAAAGCCAGTTTTTTTGTTTTTTTCTGATGTACTTACATTTGTGCCTCACAATCAAGAGGTTCCCAGCTTGGTGGAACTTTCAAAGATGAGGCAGAAAACTAAACAGGCAATTACAATCTTACTTTTCACGCTGACAAGTGGTACGGTGGCTAGCCCAAACTCCCCTCCCTGTCCCAGCTACCTCCCTTATAGACCATTCACGATCACTTAGGCCAGGCTGCCATGTGACCTAAGAGAAGACAGGGAGAACACAGCATTTCTTACTCCTACTAACTTGCAACATCATTCTCTCAAGTTGCTCTCATTGGAGGCTCCCAACTGCTTCAAGCTGCCCAGTGATATTTGTATTTCTAAAGTGGGCAGGCATGGCCATTCCAGAAAAAGAAACACATTCAGACTTGTGCCTTTTGTTACCCAAATATATGATATTCAAATAATTTCTATTTTAACAACTCATAAAAATTTAAGATCAAATAATTGCATTCTTGAAACAATTCTTAATCATTTATTTTCAACACGTGTACTATAAAGAACCTAAGAAATCAGACAATTTTAATAACCCATAAACATGTTGAATCCATTTGCAGATTTAAATTTTGTAAAAATAGCTGTCACTGCCTCCATATATCAAGTGTACTATGTTTATAATCACATTTATGCTACCGATACTCCTCAGAAAAAAACAGATTCTGCTTGGTTCTAGCTTCAGTATTATGAACTCCAATAATGCTTTGAGGACCTCCAAAGGAAAAAAACAGATTCTACTAGGTTCTAGCTGAAATATTATCAACTCCAAATTGAAGCTGAAGTATTATCAACTCCAAATAATGCTTCGAGGACCTCCAAAAAAAAGAGATTCTGCTTGGTTGTAGCTGAAGTATTATCAACTCCAAATAATGCTTGGAGGACCTCCACAGGTAAACTACTAATCCCTTTGGCCATTTATTGAGACAGACAGAGAGAGAGAGAGAGAGTTTTGAAGCAACAATGTACCATTAGTAAAGTTGCTGTGCAGAATTACCTCAGTCCTATTCTAAGCTTACAGTTCAGTTGATTTTATTGTCTTCACCTAAGTATATACAATTCACATATGGGAGAAAAACACTAAATCAAGATGGTTATTTTCACTGTTTTGCTTAAGATTCATATTTAAATATAAATCAAGAAGTTAATCCACAGTTTGAGAGATACTTATATTAGAAATTTTAAATGTTAAATACATAATTGTAAATATGGTGTATGTACTGTTTCACATACAATGGGTATTGATCAAATCAGTGTAATTAGCACACCCATCAGCTCAAATATCATTTATTTGTAGCAAGAACATTCAATACATTAACTATAGTCACCCTACTCTCTCTCTCTCTCTCTCTCAATAAATGGCCAAAGGGATTAGTACTTTTACCTTTGGAGGTCCTCAAAGCATTATTTGGAGTTCATAATACTTCAGCTAGAACTTATTCCTTCAAATTTAACTCTGTACCCATTAAAAGTGGTTTTGTGTGCAATTAACAGACACATGTTCTACCCATACATTGTTTTCCAAAATTATTGTGTGGCTTTAAAAAAAAAAAAACCCACACAACAAATTGCAAAAGGCACTGAGATAACATCTGCTTCTAGATCATTGCTAGGCTCGAAAAATAAAGCTTGTTCTACCAGGAATGACAAGTTAGAACTTAGTATTTGCCAAAGCAGAAATTATATAGTGTCAGTTATTTCAGGCAAACCTTATTCGGCTCTCATCCCCAACTATCTGTCAGAACAATTAAAAGAGATCAAAACAGTCCAGCATAACTAGGCTTCATTATATAAGGCCATTTTGTTCTAAGACACTAATAAACCAAAATAAGAAATATTAAAATCAAAATAAAAGATATTATTTGAGCTATTTTCATACAAACTGTTGGTTCCTTATATCCTCCCTTCTATAATAAAGGGCATATTTTACTGCAAAGAAAATTTTACTTTATATATATCACTAGCCATAAATTTTTGAATGTCATTAATTACATGTTGTCTAGTACCATTAACCAAATAGCGTAACTATTTTATGTCCACATTTCACTTCTGTATTTACAAACATATCAGTAAAGAGTTAACAATGAGATGCGATCAAACATCCATATTATCTGTTTTGTAGACAGCAATGTAGATGATTTTGTAATCACCTTTCATCGGAGTGACCTTATATAAAAAATAAGTCAATAATTTAGAGGTTCTAAGTCTCCAAAGGAGATTTTCAAATGTAAATATAGAAATGGTTATAGATAATGAGATTTTTAGGAAACCTCTGCCATGTCTGCATCCTGTTAACTGTTATATCATCTTTTCTTCCAGCTGCGTTCCTTTGCCTGCAACAGGGGTCAAGATGAGTTTTGCCTGACTTCTTTGATGTCCTGAACTTTCCGTAGTCCTTTTTCTTGAATTTGTTCATTATAAATATAGCTTGGCATTTGTTTGATCTTTTCAACTGTCTTCACTGCATCAGTAGTTTTATTCCATAGTTCTTGCAGATATTTGACAGGCTTGTTACTATATTTTTCAAATTCAAATCCACTGTAAGCTCATTATTAGCAGTTGCTTTACAGAATGCTTTAGTCCACCTAACCTTTTGAGAATTGCACTTCTTTTAAAGTTTTTGTGACATTTATGTTTATACAATCTGAACACCTTGCAACAGCTGCAGATGAACATCATGATGTGGTCAGGGTAGATGGGTCCCAAAGAAACTAACACTTCTCAGTGCTGAGCTCGGATGGGCCTCCACTGACCAAACACGGAGCTTGAGAGGAAGTCAAGAGGTATCTTGGAATTCCACATGCTGACCCTGTCATTCTTGAAGGAAAATGATGCATAATTTCTGAATAATTCAGAAAGAACTTAACAATCTTTCCAGTTAGTTTTTAAATAACAATTCTGTTTATCAAATTTCTGAATTAACTTTTCTGAATTCACGGGTTTCTAAAACTGGCCTTAAGCAAAAGTCTGAAACCTAGGCTGGGAACCATGTAACCCAGGCCAAGAAGGTACTTTAAAGTGTCTTAGAGTTGTTTTTCAACTTAGGGGGAAACAACAGATTCCATTAAATCCCATAAAGGATTTTTTTGTGTGTGAAAAAGGGCCTGATGTAATCTAGGTTAGACTCAGGAGGCTTTAACAAGTTTTGTCTTACGGGTAAATGGTGGCTATTTTCACAGATAACATCATTACTCCCATCCCTTACTATGGTTTATACAAAAGAGGCTGGAGAATAAGTACATTTTTACAGCCGGGTGTGGTGGCTAACGCCTGTAATCCTACTTAGCACTTTGCGAGGCCAAGACAGGAGGATCTCTTGAGCCCAGGAGTTCGAGACCAGCCTGGGCAACACAGGGAGACCCTGTCTCTATTGTTAAATCAAGAAAACCTAAAAAACATTTTCATTTACATAGCACCAAATATAAGAGCCTTTTTTTTTTTAACCTAGAAAGAGTATTTTGGAGAGAGAAACTAAGGATCAGAAGGTTTAAGAGTATCAAAAATCTGAGGCCAGGTGCCTCACATCTGTAATCCCAGCATTTTGGGAGGCTGAGGTGAGTAGATCACTTGAGTTTAGGAGTTCAAGATCAGCCTGGCTAACATGGTGAAACCCTGTCTTTACTAAAAATACAAAAAAATCAGCTGGTATGGTGGTACATGCCTGTAATCCCAGTTACTTGGAAGGCTGAGGCAGGAGAATAGCTTGAACCCAGAAGGCGGAAGTTGCAGTGAGCCGAGATCACTCCACTGCACTCTAGCATGGGTGATGGAGCAAGACTCTGTCTCAAAAAAAAAAAAAAAAAAAAAAAAAAAGAGTATCTAAAATTTAAATACTAATTCTTGGCTGGACATGGTGGCTCACATCTGCAATCCCAGCACTTCGGGAGGCCGAGGCGGGTGACCTCACTTGAGGTCAGGAGTTCGTGACCAGCCTGGCCAACATGGTGAAACCCTATCTCTACTAAAAATACAAAAATTAGCTGGGCATGGTGGTGCATGCCTGTAATCCCAGCTGCTCCAGAGGCTGAGCCAGGAGAATGGCTTGAACCCGGGAAGCGGAGACTGCTAGATCATGACACTGCACTCCAGCCTGGGCGACAGAGAGACTCATCTCAAAACAAACAAACAAACAAACAAACAAAAAAACAAAAAACTAAATCTTTCACACATTTTCTCTTTATATCAAAGGTACTAAGTGACATTTAGGCCGGACGCGGTGGCTCATGCCTGTAATCCCAGCACTTTGGGAGGCCGAGGTGGGCGGATCACGAGGTCAGGAGATCGAGACCATCCTGGCTAACACGGTGAAACCCTGTCTCTACTAAAAGTACAAAAAATTAGCCAGGTGTGGTGGCAGATGACTGTAGGCCAAGCTAATTGGGAGGCTGAGGCAGGAGAATGGTGCGAACCCGGGAGGCAGAGCTTGCAGTGAGCCAAGATCACGCCACTGCACTCCAGCCTGGGTAACAGAGCAAGACTCGGTCTCAAAAAAAATAATAAGTTACATTTAAATGTCATATACATATTTAAGAAAAAAAAAAACCAAGTACTTCTCATTTAAGACAGAGTAGAAATTATTTAAAATTAGGAGTTGGTGTAAAGGATGAGCTACATATTCAAGTCAAATTATAGTAAGTATTCACTATTCCACTACCAAAGTAGGTCAATTATACTAAAGAGAAGAAATCTATGTGAATTGAGGCATTTTCTCACTTTGATATATGTGAATAAATTTCAGGTTGTCTAAATTCCTAGGGTTATATAGTTAGAAATATATAATTCTCTTATAGACAGGTCAACTAGGGGAAATAAGTTAGCACAATCATTTGAATTGGTTGTCTACATACTGGGCAGGGCTTATTCCTTTTCTTTAGCTTCTTTGCACATGTAAAGCAGGCCATAAGATGTCCTGTTTTGCCATGGACAATGCAACCATTTTTAGGTCGACCTTGACAAATCACACAAGGTTCAATGGCATTAAGGGGCAAACTAGATTCCACACTCTCTTCTTTGTCTTGGGTTTCTTCCCTTTCAAACTCTTTCACATCTTCTTGGCTGCTATAAATAATGCTACTAGAAGTTGATGGCTGAGAATAGTCTTCACTTTCTTGTGATTGTGAAGCTTGTGTAATTTTATCATCATTTTCCTCAACACATGACTCTCTGGAATCATTCACTATAGTTTTTTTACAATCAGGAACATCAAAGCCCTCTTCAGCTTGTGTTGAGTTTTCCAGTTTGGCTTTCTCAGAGATTTCCCCTTTATCTTTCCCTTTATCTTCAGGAAGCCAATTCTCACGAAGGGCCCAACATCTGTTGCAATGTGATGGAAGGGGGGGATTCATTTCATTGCATGAAGTGCATTTCCAATAGTCCTTCAATGAAATAAGACACACAGTCAGTTTCTGTAACCCTTTAACTGCTCAGTCACAGGAATGCTAGCAACTTTGCTATGTCTAAGGTAAAGTATATCATAGGGCTCAATATTCAGTGTTTCATGTTTTATATAAAATAGTCACTGTAAACAGCATGAGGACTATAGTTAGTTATATATTGGTATACTGGAAATTTACTAAAAGAATAGATTTTAGGTATTTTAACCATACACACAAGAAAGGTTAACTATTCAAGATAATGGATTACATTAATTTGCTTGACTGTAGTGATCATTTCACTATTTACATGTGTGTCAAAACATCACGTTATATGTCTCAATTATACACAAAACAGATTTTTAAAGGTCAATATGTAACAGTCTCTCCTAAAGTAGAGTAAGTACACCCATTTTTTTCACCCTTACCATCCTGAAAAATTCTAAACTAAAAATATATTAACTGTGATGTGATATTAATCATGTACCTATAAAGTTATCTGTTTCAGGATACAAATGCAGTTGCTTCCTTTAGTTGAAGCAAGTCTATGGGATCTTTTACTCTGTCATGCAGCCTATATCCACTCCCTTAAAGGCTCAACCCTAGGCGCTATTCCAAGAGTCCATCCCATCAATCTAGATGAAACCTGCCTCCTCGAGAAAGACTTCCTAATCCACCAGTGACTAGAACTACCTTAGAAGTACTCTAAAACCATGGCTTAACTGAGTATTCCCTAACTCCATCCACAAGAGAAATGCTAAAACATTTTTCACAGCAAGTATTGCTGCTAAAACCTATCATCCTTGGTCACTAACCGTAATATCCTTTCCTTTACCTGTCTATCCTTTCCTGTGTTCTCATCTTTGTAACTGCTCAATGCTTCTTCCTTTTCCCAACGTTTTATCCCACAAACCTTTCCACCATGCAATTTGGATAACAAACTCTCCCACATCCCCAGCCTTTTTACATAACCTATCTTCTTGCCTTAGCTGAAGCATGGTTCTTGCCTGAGGACATTTAACAAGTGAAAACTCTTAAGTAAGAGGTATTTCCGTAACCATTTTGAGATTGCCTCACAAATGATGTTAAGACAGGAGCAATAAAGATAGACTATTCATTCTTCTTTTTTCAAGTTATAGAAGGGGGTTTTTCACAGCTCATAAAACCAAAGAAAAAGGTCTTGCAATATGGGAGTAAAAGTGCATCAAAAAGTCCAATAAATTCCAAGATGAATATCTAAAATAATTTGAGTCTTAAAATAGATTTAAAAAATTAAAAGTATCTAAAATATTTTACTCAACTTGACATCAAATGATTCAATTAGTTATTTATTTTCTAATACAGTAAAAATTTTGGAAACTCTTGAATTTTCATCCTTTTTTGCACTTGAATAATTAGTAACTGTCTATAACTCAGAAAAAATGGAATTTATTTCCTATTCAAATATAATAAAGGCAATATTAAGAACAAAAACTAAAGCACAATAGTTTTAAAAAAACCTATAATACCTCAGGAACTCAGTGAAGTATGCATGAGATGTAAACATTTAAGTGTTAATTTCTTTAATGGCAAATCCTACCACATTCTATAATACAAATCAGTAATAAAAATGTTTACATTTGGCTGGGTGTGATGGCTCACACCTGTAATCCTTGCACTTTGGGAGACTGAGGCAGGTGGATCACTTGAGCCCAGGAGTTCAAGACCATCCTGGGCAACATGGTGACATTTCTACAAAAAATACAAAAATTAGCTGGGGTGTGATGGCATGCACCTGTTATTCCAGCTACTCAGGAGGCTGAGGTGGGAGGATCACTTGAGCCTGGGAGGTGGGGGCTGCAGTGAGCCATGATCACATCACTGCACTCCAGCCTGGAAGACAGGGCAGGACCCTATCTCAATTGAAAAAAAAAAAAGTTTACGTTTGACAAGGTTGGCAAAATGTTGGTAATAGTTAAAGCTGGGTGATGAGTATACTGGAGATACACTGAAATTTTCCAAAATAACATCAAAATGTACAAATTCAGCTGGGCAGTGACTCATGCTTGTAATCCCAGCACTTTGAGAGACCAAGGTGGGCAGATCACTTGAGGTCAGGAGTTCATGACCAGCCTGGCCAACATGGTGAAACCCCATCTCTACTAAAAATAAAAAAATTAGTGGGGTATAGTGGTGCATGCCTGTAATTCCAGCTACTCAGGAGACTGAGGCACGAGAATCACTTGAACCTGGGAGGTGGAGGCTGCAGTGCACTGAGATTGCACCACTGCACTCCAGCTTGGGAGAAGGGTAAGACCCTGTTTAAAAAAAAAAAAAAAAAAGTTCAAATTCCAGCACCTAAAAATAAAAATTATAGCTACAGGTCTCATCACAACAAATAAAAGAAAAATGCTTTAAATTATTCAGACTTTACAAAAACATTTTAACTTTATAAAAATCAGTTCATTTCAGAAAGAAGCTAGATATAGTCTCCTAATCTTGACCTTAATGAAATTTTTATTTCTTAAAAAAGTAGATGTATACTTACAGCTAAGGAAATTTCAGGATCTTCTTCAAATGAATCTGTATCACTCTCCCCTGCCTGATACACAGTAACTTGATATACCTAATAAAACACATTCATTAGCATCAATTCATCGCCCTATTTCCTTCAATCAGAAGGCTTCCTAGTAATAAGTCCTAAACAAATATCATGTACTACAATATATGAGAAAGCCTTAGACAATATCAAATAGAGTAAGTGAGTGTAAAGGGGGAAAAAATGGAGGAGAGAGAAATCCTTACCCACAATGGTAAAAGTCAATACAAAGGATGTTTAGGATGAATAAAACAAAACATTCAGCTAGGTGGTTTTACTTCATAAATAACTAATATGGAGATATTAAATAATAGGGAAATAGCTAGAAATGTTAAAGGCAGTCACTTCTGGGAAACAGATCTCTAAGGGTACTACTTGACTTTAACTGTATGCATGTTTTACTTTTATAGAAAGTAAGTTAATATTAAAACAGTAGTTGAATTATATGTTTTTAAAAGTGAACAGACCATTATAATAAGCATGTTCATTGAGGTCTATTGACTTCTTGGCAATTAGTAGTAATATAATAATATAAATCAGATGATAAAGAACTATGAAATCCTCAAGTCCACAAACCAATGTGTTAGTTTAAACAAATCAAGAGGTAAAGATTTCAAGTGAAATCTGAATAATATTATTTCAATCTCAAAGTCAATGAACATAGAAAATATTTAATAATTTTCCAATATAATTAGAGGGGAAAAAAAATACTACCTCATCATCTTCATCTGAGAGTTCTTGTCCTTCTTCACTAAGGCTATAATCTTCTGAGTCGAGAGATTCAACTTCAAATTCTACACTAAACTGATCTGAAACTGAATCCTGATCCAACCAATCACCTGAATGTTCACTTACACCAGCATCAAGATCCTAAAACAAGAAAAAAATATATAACTTAATAAACATCACCTCTTGACCTCTGTATCTGTTTCCTAACTCATCCCTGTGCCTCTGCTGCTGCCAGCAGGGTGTAACAGTTGGGGGATGGGCCTGCTGCTCTGATCCGGGACTTCCCGAGGGAGATCGGCGGGCAGAAGACTAGGCCCCCCAGCCAGCCATCCCGGAGCCGGTTGCCACGCACATTTCCTCCTCAGATCCATCCTGCATACTGAAACTAGATTAAGGTTTCAAGGTTATTACTACATTATTTTCCCTGTTCAAAACCCCACTGCATAAAGGAAAAACACCAAAGCCTCTTGGCATCGAAAGTACCTACAGTGTGACTGTATTAACATCTTCGTCTGTCTTCAACTAGACACCCCTCCTCCCTTACTAAATATGGATAATCCCGCCAGATCTAGATTGCTTCCTCAACTAATCTTGGCATTTCAACTTCCACACTTTCCCCCTCTAACTAGAATAATTTCAGTTTCAAAATCCTATTCATCCTTCTTTGACTAAGCCTTTGTCAATACCATAACTGAAAAGGCTCTTCCACCTTTAATTATCCTTACTACTTGTATAATAATGAATTATATAGTCTCACACATAAATTATGCAAAACATAATTTTGCAGGCATGTTTCTCATCTGAATTATATATACTTTGAGCTAAAACCTGTCACTCATCTTTCTATGTCCAAATTGGTAGAATACACGTAACAAGACACAACACTTGTAATACTTATGGGTTTTTTTTCTTAGAAAAATGTCTCGAGTCATAGATACTTATGTTTTTTAATAAACTTTGAGATTTTCTTTTAAAGAGCCTTTAGACAATTAAAAAAAATTCTGTAGCTGCTCATCTGATTCTTCGTTTCAGGACTTCAATAAATTGTATAAGAACCTAGTAAGACCTTCAGGGCAATAATATTTGCTGTCAGTGGCTAAGGGTAGGAGCATATATAAGCAGAAGGCTACAATTGGAAAAAGTCTAGAAGTCGGGATATGGCTTATTCTACACTTGCCACTAAGTAGCTAATTTAACCTTAAACAACATCATTTAACTTATTTTATTTATTTTGAGATGGAATCTTGCTCCATCACCCAGGCTGGAGTGCAGTGGCCTGATCTCAGCTCACTGCAACCTACACCTCCCAAGTTCAAGCAATTCTCCTGCCTCAGCCTCCCAAGTAGCTGGGACTACAGGCGCATGCCACCATGCCTGGCTAATTTTTGTATTTTTAGTAGAGGCAGGGCTTCACCATGTTGGCCAGGCTGGTCTTGAACTCCTGACCTCAAGCAATTCAACCGCCTTGGCCTCCCAAAGTGTTAGGATTACAGGTGTGAGCCACCATGCCCGGCCCTTTTTTTTTTTGAGACAAGAGTCTTGCTCTGTCACCCAAGATGAAATGCAGTGGCATGATCTCAGCTCACTGCAACCTCCGCCTCCGGGGTTCAAGCTATTCTCCTGCCTCAGCCTCCCAAGTAGCTGAGATTACAGGTGTCCACTACCACACCCGGCTAATTTTTATGTTTTTAGTGGAGACGGGGTTTCGTCATGTTGGCTGGGCTGGTCTCGAAATCCTGACCTCTAGTGATCCGCCACCTCGGCCTCCCAAAATGCTGGGATTACACCTGTGAGCCACCTCGCCCAGCCCATATCATTTAACTTCTAAAGGCTGTAGCTACTTCATCTAGAAAAGGAGCTTAGATTAAATGATTTCCATATCTGTATCAGTTTTAAAAACAGAAACAAAGTATATTATTTTACAGCCTCTGACATCAAAAGACTTTTTTAGAGTAATGTTAGGAAGGAGAGTAAAAGCAACATTCATCAAGTTGCAGCTCAAATTCCTAACAAGGGCTCTACTACCAATCAGATTAGAATCACAAGTCAAGTTAGGATACAATTAACACTAACAAAGTAACCCAACAAACCAAATACTTCAACTAACTAAAGTCTTTAGTGCACTAATTTTAGAATAAGGGGGTAAATCACAAGAAACATTAAATCTCAGAAAACATACTCTACGGTAGGGGTCTGCAAACTGTGGCCCATCACCCATCGACTTTTATAAATAAAGTTTTATTGAACACAGCCATGCCTATTTGTTGACTTGTTGTCTACAGTTGCTCCTGCATTACAAGAGCGGGGCTGAGTAGCTGTGACAGAAACCATGGCCCGGCAGAGCCCAAATAATTAACTATGTGGCTCTTTACAGAAAGTTTGCCAACTCCTGTCCTAGGATACTATAAAAATACTATAAAAAATACCATGAAAAAATGCAATATTGGGAGTGGTTTTTAAAGTTTTGGCTAATGTTCGCAAAAGAATGCCCCAGAAACTATTAAATTATCTCTCTCTATATATATTTTTAAAATATATAAAATAAATATTTAAAATATATATTTATATTTATATAAATAGTAATATATATAATATATACAGGTGCCTGCCCATTTATATTTACATAAATATATATTTTTATATTTATATAATTATATTTTTATATTTATATAAATATATATATTTATATTTATATAAATATATAATTATATAAATATATATAACAATGTAATATATAATATACATTAATATATAATAGATTTATAATTATATATTATATATTTATACATTATTTAAATATAAATATATATATATATATATTTTTTTTTTTTTTTTTTTTTTTTGGAGACAGAGTCTCGCTCTGTCACCCAGGCTGGAGTGCAGTGGCACCATCTCGGCTCACTGCAAGCTCCACCTCCTGGGTTCACGCCATTCTCCTGCCTCAGCCTCCCCAGTGGCTGGGACTATAGGTGCCCGCCACCACGCCCGGCTAATTTTTTGTATTTTTAGTAGAGACGGGGTTTCGCCGTGTTAGCCAGGATGGTCTCGATCTCCTGACCTTGTGATCCGCCCGCCTCAGCCTCCCAAAGTGCTGGGATTACAAGCATGAGCCACTGCACCAGACCTAAATACTATATATTTAAAAAGCATCAGGCTGGAGGTGGTGGCTCATGCCTGTAATCCCAATACTCTGGGAGCCAAAGCAGGAGAATCACATAAGCCCAGCGGTTTGAGACCAGCCTGGGCAACAGGCCAAGATCTCATCTCTGAAAAAAAAAAAGTAAAAAAAATTAGCCAGGTGTGGTGGTGCACACCTGTAGTCCCAGCTAACTCTCAAGGCTGAGGAGGAAGGATTGCTTGAACCCAGGAGGTTGAGGTTGCAGTAAGCCATGATCATGCGCTGCACTCCCGCCTGGGCAACGGAGTGAGAGACTGTCTCAAAAATTTAAAAAATATATATTTTTTTAAGCATCAGATAGGCTTGCTCTGCAAAGATCTTAGATCTTTGTAGTCAAAAATACCTAGAATTGTTTGAATTCCAATTGTGACAATTAGTTGTAGGAACCTTAAACAAGTTATTTAAAACCCCAGTCTTAGCTAAAAATGGAATCTGAGGCTGCAAAGATGACAGAAGATCATAATATAAACTGCATGGTGTACAGTCTAGAACACAGTCTTAGTTTCCCACAATTTATTAAACCCCAAAGAAAGAAAAGATGGGAGAGGAATGCACTTTCCTTTAACTCCCTTCACAAACTGGTGAATGATGACACCCAATGATGACTACAACATTCTCAAATGAGGGAAATTAAAACGAAGAAGAAAAAAAAACTGGCCCTACCAAAAGCTTTCACAACTAGGGACTTAACCTGAAAAACGAGATTTTGTTGTTGTTGTTTGAGATGGAATTTCGTTCTCGTTGCCCAGGCTGCAGTGCAATGGCGTGATCTCAGCTCACTGCAACCTCCGCCTCCCGGGTTCAAGCGATTCTCCTGTCTCAGCCTCCTGAGTAGCTAGATTACAGGTGCCCGCCACTATGCCCAGCTAATTTTTGGTATTTTTAGTAGAGATGGGTTTTCACAACATGTTGGCGAGGCTGGTCCTGAACTCCTGACCTCAGGTGATCCGCCCGCCTGGGCCTTCCAAAGTGCTGGGATTACAGGCATGAGCCACCACGCCCGGCTGAGATTTTTTATAGATAGGATTTTTTAAGAGAATGCAGGACAGGACTAACAAAAAGAAAAAAAGAAATACCCCTCTACTCCACACGAGTTATTAAGAAATTATTTTAGGCAAATGGAGAGGAAAAGTGGTCCTTGGAAGGTTTTTCGTAGCTCCAGAAAAATTTCTTGTCTAGCATAAAAGCCCTGGCTCTTAAAGGCTGGCAACCTTTAAGATGCAAATGCAAGAGGGTCCACCCAACATGGCGATTCCCACCGTTGTCCTCTTGCCCTTGCTCCATCAGGTACCTAACAGCATGGCCGCCCCCACATAACCCCGTGTGTAAAATGTCATGGCATCCTGCATTTGTGTATTAAAGGACTGGGGTGGGAGGGCCAGTTTTCTTGAGGGCTAAATGACATGCCTGGTCAAACCAATCCTCTGAGCCCTATGCAAATAAGACACCACCCCCTCCAGCCGTCACATAAAACTGGCTAGTATTGTCAGAATGTAAGGTCTCCTCTTTCAGCTTTAGAGCCCCCCTCCCTCTGTCTGTGTAAGGGGGAGCTTCTTCCTTCTGCCTTCTCCCTTCTTGCCTATTAAACGCTCTGCTCCTTAAAACCACTCCACGTGTGTCCGTGTCGTTTTATCTAATTCAACTCAAAACAAAAAACCTGGTGTTCCTCTACTCCTCAAAGCCATATCAGTAACAAGGCAGTGTCCCAGGTACAAAGCAGGAACAAGGACTCTAAATATCATTCAGCTAGAATTCTGATATAACTTTAACAAAAACTATACATTAAATAGGGGTCCGGGCAGGTGGCTCACATCTGTAATCCCAACACTTTGGGAGGCCAAGGCAGGCAGATCACTTGAGGTCAGGAGCTCAAGACCAGCCTGGCCAACATAGTGAAACCCCATCTCTACTAAAAATACAAAAATTAGCCAGGTGTGGTGATGGGAGCCTGTAATCCCAGCTACTCAGGAGGCTGAGACATGAGAATCGCCTGAACCGGGGAGGTGGAGGTTGCAGTGAGCCAAGATTGCACCACTGCACTCCAGCCTGGGAGACAGAGAGACTCAATCTCAATAAATAAATAAATAGGGTATAATAATTCTCTTTTTAACCAAACTTGTAGGTTGGATACTCATCAAGTTTTAATTGGATTCAATTTTATCACATATATTTCCGCTCAAGAGCCTATTTTTTCCACTGGATTTATTAAATGTTTTCATTTTTGTCATTAATGATCTATCTCCCAATGAAGGCAAGAACCATATCTACCTTGACTACCACTGTATCTGCAGTGCCATCTCAACTGTATGGAATTTGGTATAAACTTAAATATCTACAAATGAAGAACCTGCTCTCAGACTGAGCAGGAGCTCATCATGCCATCTAGCGGTCTACATAAGTAACAGCTCCGTTAGGTACAGTAACTCTAGAGGGCAGGTATGCGTTCATACAATCACTGCTTTGGAAGAGAAAAAAAGATAATACAGGAAGTAACAAGAATAGGTAAAAGACTAGGATTACTATCACAATTGGTTCCACTTCCTACATCTTCTAGAGTACTATACAATGATTACTAATACCCAGAATAATGGCCATGAGACACTGCCATATTACCAAAAAATGTATCCAATCCTTTGGTTTCCGTGGGCGACATTGGAAGAATTGTCTTGGGCCACACATAAAATACACTAACAATAGCTGATGAGCAGAAAAAAAATTGTAAAAAAAAAAATCATAATATTTTAAGAAAGTTTATGAATTTGTGTTGGGCCACATTCAAAGCCATCCTGGCATATGGCCCACAGGCCATGGGTTGGACAAGCTTGATTAAAGACATACAAAACAAAATATTCCATTTGTCAAGCATTCTTGTTAACAAAAAAATTTTTTACCAAACTTCTTTCAGTGACATCTCTTAAGAAATGCTGCTCACTAATATTTTGGAAGTCTGTATTAGTAATGAGAAAGTACTGATACTCTCCCGTCATCCATGCAATAATAAACCTGCATTTTTTTTTTTTTTTTTTGAGATGGAGTCTCGCTCTGTCACCCAGGCTAGAGTGCAGTGGCACAATCTCAGCTCACTGCAACCTCCAACTCCTGGGTTCGAGCGATTCTCCTGCCTCAGGCCCCCAAGTAGCTGGGACTGCAAGCATGCGCCACCACGCCTGGCTAATTTTTGTATTTTCAGTAAAGACATGGTTTCATCTTGTTGGCCATGCTGGTCTTGAACTCCTGACCTCAGGTGATCCACCCGCCTCAGCCTCCGAAAGTACTGATTACAGGCATGAGCCACCGCACCCAGCCCAGTATAAACCTGTATTTTACAGCATAAGTAAATAGAACTTACCTGATGTCTAGACCTATTTGGCAAATGTTAAGTTCAGACTATGCTGACTTTTTTGCTGATGGCTGTAATAAAATATATTTTTACTCTAAATAGTCAAATTTGCCTTAAAATGCTAAAATATTTAACTGAACCAAATTTTTGGTTTTGTTCCTTTTTTAAAAAGTGTAACTCTCAAATTCTCAAACAACTCTATACTCCAATTTATTTGACTGTACTATTGGTGCAGTGGTCCACAAATATTCTCTAATACATACAGTGACATTGATAATTACTAATACTACTACTAATTTTACCAATACCGGTGTTACTCCACTATTTTCCACATTTCTCACAATACCTTGGGTTGAAGGTGGAGATCAATATAGTAGTTTTATTTTAAAGTAAAATTTAGCACTGTGTTTTCTATCAATCTCGTAAGACACATGTACATTCTATCCGTATCCTTATTAGGACTGCCAGGACTAGACTTTGAACAGTAAGAGTCTTGCCTTACTTAAAATGAGAACATTACCGGATTCGATGGCGTCCCTGTAGATTCACTGCTACTGCTTCTTTCACAACATATCTCCCTTATTACACACAGAGCCAGGCTTTCATCAAAGGAAAGGGAAATACTATCAGATTTGTGGCGTTTTCTTTGTCGTTCACCAGATAATTCATCTGAATTTTCTTCTGGATATGTAAGGAAAAAAAATAAATTGCTGTACTGTGATTTAGAAAATTGAGCTGTTTTGAGTACCTATTTGTACAGAAACTTAGTTTCAATAAAATTAGTTCAAAAGTTAACACTGTTTTATTGAATCTGTCCAACTGTTACAGCAGAACACTATCTGTGTGTATTTATTTATTTGTTTATTTATTTATTGTCTGAGAAAGGGTCTTGCTCTGTCACCCAGGCTGGAGTACAGAGGCACAATCTCGGCTCACTGCAACCTCTGCCTCATGGGCTCAAGTGATCCTCCCACCTCAACCTCAGCCTCCCGAGTAGCTGGTACCATAGGAACGGTACCATAGGAATGCACCATTTTGTATTTTTTGCATAGACAGGGTTTCACCATGTTGCCTAGGCTGAGAATACTATTTTTAAAAAGCTTTCTATTCTTCTTTCAGAACTTTATCTCCATACATCACAATTTAATCTATCTAATAAAGTTTTTATTAACCAAAAAATCTAGGAATTTTTTTCTGTCAAAACCAAACTTT
Source organism: Homo sapiens (assembly GCF_000001405.40). NCBI lineage: Eukaryota > Metazoa > Chordata > Mammalia > Primates > Hominidae > Homo > Homo sapiens. Next base: position 68,828,239 of record NC_000012.12, on the reverse strand, counting down.
AAAATATAAGAGCTCATCTGTTTTTTTCCGAAAAGAGCCAAAGTGTTTAATTTACTCATATGGTATTCTTAATGTTTCAATTTCTTCAGTACCCTACACTTTTTCTTTTGAGACAGAGTCACACTCGACCACCCAGGCTGGAGTGCAGTGGTACATTCTCAGCTCATTGCAACCTCTGCCTCCCAGGTTCAAGTGATTCTTGTGACTTCAGCTTCCAAGTAGCTGGGATTAAAGGTGCACACCACCATGCCTGGATAATTTTTGTATTTTTGGTAGAGACAGGGTTTCACCATGTTGGCCACACTGGTCTCAAACTCCTGGCCTTAAGTGATCCTCCTGCCTCAGCCTCCCAAAGTGCTGGGATTACAGGCCTAAGCCACTAAGCCCGGCTCTTCAGTACCCTATATTTTAAACAGAAATCAAAACCAGTAAAAAGTTTCCATTTCATTTTAAATAATAAATTATCTCTGAATGGGTCAGAATGTTAGACAAATCCGTTAGACATAAATGAGAATACTACCTTATACTAGACATAAAAATGAATTCCAGGTGGATTAAAGATCTAAATATAAAGAACAAAACCATTCAAGTACCTATAACAAAATATTCTTATAATGCTGGGGTGGAGAAGTATTTCATAATACTGCAAAGTCCTCAATAAAAAGACTATCAAGATTAGACCATGTCAAGGTTTACATGACAAAATAAAATACCAAACAAAAGTTAAAAGGCAAAGGTCAAATTCGAAGATAATATCTGCAACATATATAGTAAAAATTACCCATAGTATACATATTATACAAAGTCCTACCAAATCAAGATAGACTGTATTTTCTTTTAAGGAAACAGGAAAAAGCAAGTCACAGAAGAAATACAAATGACTAATAAACATATGAAAAATCTTGAGTCATGTACTTGAGTAATAGAAAAAAAAACTCTTACCTCCTAGGGATCAAAGAAATGCAAAGTGAAATGATATCATTTTTCACCCATGAGAATGACAAAAATTAAAATGAGATAGTATCACAGATTTCTGAAAGGACTTTTTTTATCATTTTCTTGAGACAAAGTCTCACTCTTGTCCCCCAGGCTGGAGTATAATGGCACAATCTCGGCACACTGCAACCTCCACCTCCTGGGTTCAAGCAATTCTCCTGCCTCAGCCTCCTGAATAGCTGGGACTACAGGTGCCCACCACTGTGCCCGGCTAATTTTTTTTGTATTTTTAGTAGAGACGGGGTTTCACCGTGTTAGCCAGGATGGTCTCAATCTCCTGACCTCGTGATCCTCCCTCCTCGGCCTCCCAAGGTGCTGGGATTACAGGCGTGAGCCACTGGACCTGGCCGGGATTTTTACGTTTTATCGAGATCACAAGTTCTGCACGTGAGTTCTTAATCATGTTTGTGTTCCCTATTTTTAAAAAGGTGATCTTGGCCGGGCTGCAATTATAAATAATGCTGTAATTAGTATCTCTACATATAAATCTTTGAATTTTTTATTACATCCTTAGGATAGATTACTAGAAATGGAGTTACTAGGATAATGTTAAGAACTCTAAGACTTTTTTTTCTTTTCTTTTTTTTTTTTTTTTAAGAGGGAGTCTCACTCTGTACCCCAGGCTGGAGTGCAGTGGTGCGACCTTGGTTCACTGCAACCTCCACATCCCAGGTTCAAGCGATTCTCCTGCCTCAGCCTCCCAAGTAGCTGGGATTACAGGCGCCTGCCACCACACCTGGCTAATTTTTGTATTTTTAATAGAGATGGGGTTTCACCATGTTGGCCAGGTTGGTCTCGAACTCTTAACCTCAAGAGATCCACCCGCTTCGGCCTTCCAAAGTGCTGGGATTACAGGTGTGAGCCACCGCACCAGGCCATCTAAGCTTTTTTATAATCCGAAAAATTTAATCAATTTTTACCCACTTTTACCAATTTACAGACCAACAGTTTATCAGTGCTAATACACAAGTTATTAGCACTGATGAGTAAGGATGAGTAAAAATTTTATTTTTACTAATTTGATAGATCAAAAGGACACCCTTTTGGCATTTTTTACTATCTGTAAAGCTAAAAATCACCAAAATTCACCCTCTCCCCATATTTATTAGTCATTCGTATTTACTGTGAGAAATTTTTGTGAACTGTCTGCCCTTTTTGCTATTTGAAGTTTTAATGTTTTCCTTATTGATTTGGGAAGACTTTTTATGTAATACAGATATTAACAGTCAAATTTAAAGTGACTATCTTTCAAATATGTTGTATTCTATTTTTCATTTAACTTTTAAACTCATTTGAAATTCATTTTGGCATAAGGTACAGATCTAACTTCACCTTTTCCCCAAGTAACTACCATTTGTTCTAGTTCCACCTCTGCCCTAGACACCTCTGCCCTTCCTGTCTTCTGCCCGCATGTACGAGATTCTGGTCTGGGTTCATTTATTCTGTTTCACTGATCTGACATTCTCTTTCATCTGAATCATACGGTCTTAGTTACTGCGACTTCCTCAGGCAACAGCCTTCTCGTCTACTACGTCTACTAACTGTTCTCAACTATTTTCTCTCTGTCAACTATTTTCTCTCTCTCTCTTTTTTTTAGACAGTCTCACTGTGTCGCCCAGGCGGAGTGCAGTGGCGTGATCTCGGCTCACTGTAAGCTCTGCCTCCCCAGTTCATGCCATTCTCCTGCCTCAGCCTCCCGAGTAGCTGGGACTACAGGCACCCGCCACCACATCCAGCTAATTTTTTGTATTTTTAGTAGAGATGGGGTTTCACCATGTTAGACAGGATGGTCTCGATCTCCTGACCTCATGATCCACCCGCCTCGGCCTCCCAAAGTGCTGGGATTACAGGCGTGAGCCACTGCGCCCGGCCCTTATCTCTTCATTTCTAAAATGCTATTTACTTTCTGTTTTAAAACTCATAGGTATGTACTACCATTTATTAAAAATAACAATTTAAAAATTTAACTGTTAAGGTGACTAAGAATAATGGTGAAAATAGAGTTTATATGCCTGTCTCCTATTATCTTTCTTTTTAGACGAAGTCTCACACGGTTACCCAGGCTGGAGTGCAGTGGCGCAATTTCGGCTCACTGTAACTTCTACCTCCCGGGTTGAAGTGATTCTCCTTCCTCAACCTCCTGAGTAGCTGGATTACAAGTGTGCGCCACCAGGCCCAGCTACTTTTTGTATTTTTTTTAGTAGAGATGGGGTTTCACCACGTTGGTCAGGCTGGTCTCGAACTCCTGACCTCGTGATCCGCCAGCCTCGGCCTCCCAAAGTGCCGGGATTACAGGCGTGAGCCAGGCGTGAGCCACCACACCCCAGCCACCTCCTACTATCTTAACAGAGAGTTGGCTAACTATAAACTCCAGTGGGGCACAGTAAACTGTGCCTGCTGTAGTCAGCCAGAAAAATATTGCTAAATAAGCAATTTGTAAATCAAATAAAATCACGAATGAAAAAAACTCAGAGGTTAATTCATCTCAACCAAAAAAAGGGAACAATTTAATTAAGTCTAAAAGCACTAATTTCATTAGAGAAAGAATATCAAAAAGCTGTGTGAATGCGTCAAATAAATATTCATATATACCTGTCTCACTAATTGCTCTCCTTCTAGATGAGGTAGATGGTCTAGAAACCAAATGTGAAGATGAAGGTTTCTCTTCCTGAAGCTCTTGTACAAGGTCCTAAGCATTTAGGAAAAAAATAAAATACAACAAACTTAACATAACCAGTAAGCTAACTTGTTGTAAATAACCTTTCCAATTTGCAAATAATATTACATTAGAATGAGAAATTTACTTAGATTACCTTTTGATCACTCCCACCTTCAAGGTGACACCTGTTCTCACTCACAGATGTACCTGAGTCCGATGATTCTGAGAGAAAAGAAAAAGGATCAGAAACTTGGTGGTGGGCGGGGGGCGGCGGGGCGCTACTCAGTAGATATGCTATCAGTCTAACACAAACCCTTATGCAATTTAACCTTTCAATAAACATTAAACATGTATTTTCCAGGTGGCATCCTCATACTAAATGTTGCAGATGTAAATAAAATAATTCAACTTTAATGTAGAAGAGTAAAGTATAATCAAGACATTAAAAGACTGTTAGATAAATTAGCAGAGAGACAGGAGAGTCATTATTTTGGTAGGGACAGGGAGTGTCTGAGAAACAAAGAATCAGGAAATATTTTGTAGGACAATATGAAAATAGGGCTAGGAAAGGCCATTCCAGACCAAGAAAACGCCATGTGAAAAAGTATCCAAAAGCAAACTAACAACAGTTCCTGTTGCAGGACACCACAAGCAGTTCATTATTACTGGAATGTAGGCAGGTTCAGACTGTAAAGGATCCTGTGGTCTAGCCAAAGCAGGACTCATGCTGTCATTCCCTTATCACTGCATTCTTCCCCGCAGATACTTCAGAATCTTCCTTAATGCGATGTTGCAGCCACTCACCATTAAAAAGGATTTT